>NC_000002.12:20994603-21146119 GCF_000001405.40 Homo sapiens
GGTATAGAAGGACCCGGGCTCATTCAGTTCATCTGGAGCATGTTATTGTTCTCTGAGTTCCCATTTTACAGATGAAGTAACTGATGAACAGAGAGGTGAAGTGACTGTCCCAGGACCCCATGGCTGGCGAGTGGCACACTTGGAACTCACACCCACGTCTGTCTCCCAAGTGTGCTCTGTGACCTCCTGCCTCTTCTGTCTCCGTGATCCCAGAATCCCTATAAGTCCTCCTCATTTGGGCCCCTCCCAGATTGAACACCATGTCCAGCCTCCTACATCAGTGCCTTGTTTATTTCTCTGCCCTGAATGCTTAGGAGAATGCCTGGCCTAGAGAAGGGGCTTAACAAATAGCTACTGAAGCAATAATTTTGCCTTGAGAAGGAAGATTTCATCTGTCCAAAAATCTCAGGTGAAGAGGAGAAGGAAGCACGAAATCATTTAAGTGCTTCATAAAAGCCATGCACTTAAAGGCTTTACCTTTTTCTCCTTTGTTTTAATTCATTAAATACATAATATAACTAAGTCAATTAGTAGTGCCATAAGCACCTACAAACTCACCCTCCAGCATGAGAATGAGGGCATGAGGGTCACCCACGTTGACCCATGAGTCCTCACCCTCCCTTCCCTGCCTCTCCCCACCAGATCGTAACCTATCCGGAATGTTGAGTTTAGCATTCCCTGGCTTCAAAACTATAATCCTAGAAAACAAAGCATTTTGTTCTTGATTTTAACTATATTAAAAGAGTCTGGCAGCCGGGCTCAGTGGCTCATGCCTGTAATCCCAGCACTTTGGGAGGCTGAGGTGGATGGATCATGAGGTCAGGAGATCAAGACCATCCTGGCCAATGTGGTGAAACCCCATCTCTACTAAAATACAAAAAATTAGCCGGGCGTGGTGGCACATGCCAGTAATCCCAGCTACTCTGGAGGCTGAGGTAGGGGAATCGCTTGAACCTGGGAGGCGGAGGTTGCAGTGAGCCAAGATGGCGCCACTGCACTCCAACCTGGTAACAGAGCAAGACTCCGTCTCAAACAAATAAACAAACAAACAAAAACAAAAATAAAAACAAACACAAACCAAAAAACCCAAAAGAGTCTGGCACTGCATTTCATCTTCCAGGACTTGCATTCTTATTCCCTATTATGTTGTGGTCAGATTCCTCTAAGTAGTTGAGTATAATTGTAATTGTACGTCATTTATTTTGACTTCTGTCAATAGAAAACCATCGATGCATTCATTCGCTGTTTGCCAGGCTCCATGTATGTTAACCTCATTTAATCTTTGTAACAACTCTGTAACATAAGATGGGGCCACTTTCTCCTCCTGCTCAGAGTTGCTTAACCTATTTTTCTCATTGATCTCCATTTTAATGATGAAAACTGAAGGTTAGGAAACTCAAGTGACTTTTCTGAAGTTAAATAACTCATGAATGATGAAGCTTGAATTTGAGAGCGGGGACTTCTTTTGAGAGGAGGGAAGTATTGACTGCCTTGGTTCCCAGCCTCAGCTCAACAGAGCTATGGGGCAGCAGTCGGCCCTCTCTATTGTTCTTTCCAGGATCATCCAACATCCCATGTGATTATAGAAATGTTCTAATGACTCTAGCTCTGATCCCACTTCAAAGGCTTTAGGTCTCCTGGAGCTATACTGAGCTCCATTACTCCAGAAAGACCTTGGCACCAGCCTGGATGAGCCCCACCTGATGAAAAAGCAGAGGAATGGAGAGAGAATTGGTGGAGCTGGGCTATTGGTCCAGCTGTGCTTTCCTTAGGCACTGTTTCTGGGTTAGAATCTAAACTCTGGATGCCTCTGCTCACTGTGGTTTGGTGTTCATGCTGCACAGCTGACAGCCCAAGCCACAGTTTAAAAACAAGGGTGGGGACACAGGTCTTCAGTTCATGAACCAGTCCACCTTCAAGGCCTGAGTCATCCCTCTCACCCCAAGAATGGGCTTTGGTGGTGTCAGTCCAGGGAGTAAAATGGACACAAGTGTCAGTGTTAGCGCCTAGTGCCCTGGCATTGTTGACTTGAAGCACTGCTCAGATCTGGGGAAGGCATGAGCCAGTCTATGTAGCAGAATAAAGGCAGGGCCCTCTCCTTGTGGAAACATGTGCACCTACTCCACCAACTTTTATGAGGCCCTGGAATGTTATTTGTTGGTGACCACCCAACCATCCCACCAACAAATGGAGCACTCTGAAGGGAGTTACAGCTGACCTCTTAATGTGAAACAGCATACAAGGAGATGAGCTAAGAGGTAGGGTCTGTTTCTGCACATTTATCTCTGGTTATTAGACACTTTTAGAGGGAACATCTGTTTGTCCACTCTGGCTCCCATATTGCAGGCCCCATTTGAGGGCCAGCTTGGCCCCTTCTCTGACTGAATTGGGACTAAGTCATAAATTAGATTCAGAAGGGGACCTAGAATAGGGAGTTAGAGGGGGCTTTGCTCAACTCACCAAAAAAGGGGAATTGAGCTATTCAACTGACCGGGCTTCAAGTAAAAAGCAGAAGAAAATGGAGGTAGCTCTGAAGACATCTGGTGGTGCTGAGTCCCATTGGACCCATTTCTTATCAGGTTTATCCTGAGGACAGCACCACTACTCTAGGCGGGACCTGGGAGTCAAACCAAAGCACACAGCTTGATCATGCTTCTGAAGCCCCAGGGACTTGGGCTGGGCTCCATTATTTGATTTCTCCTTTGGTTGAAAACTTTAGATATTTGTTTAATGGGAGGAATATCTGTATTTATAGCAGGACTTTCCACGTCACCTCACAGTATGTTCTTAGCAGATGTACCTGTTGACTTACTCCCAGGACAATAGGGCAATTAACTGTACAAAAGGAAAAACTCTTTGTTTTCTTGTTAAGTTTCTAAAGATACTTATACAAACATAAAATTAATGCAATTATTGGTTAAAATCCTCATTTTTCCCTACTCCTTTGGATATTGTTTCTCTAGCCCACATTTCCAACTGGCCTGCTAGATATCTCTGCTTAGACACATGATTGCAAATGGAAACTCACTATGTGATCCAGTAGTCCCATTCCAGCTGTGATAGTCAATGAGTCCATGTCTTATACTAATAATCTCCCACTCAACACATTCCTCCCATTTCTACTGAGGCTCCATAGTCCTTCAAGTTACACAGGTTCGGAATTTCCTAACTCTGAAGTCTGCTTTACCTATTCTTCCTTGTTCCTATGTTCCTCTCTCTCTCTCCTGCAACCCCTCCAGTTCCCGGCTTCAGTGACTTACCAAGGCAACTCCATTTCTAAGAGCTTTTGCACCCATCCTTTGTGTTTTACTCAATCAGCCACCTGATTCTGTCAATTCTGCCTTCCCAATCTTCTTCTATCCTACCCTCCTCACCATTCCCAACCCTAGGACTTGACTGAGGTGCTCCTCATCTGTTACTTGGACCCTGGCACAACCTCATAGATGTGGTTTGGGTCTGTGTCCCCACCCAAATCTCACGTCAAATTGTAATCCACAATGATGGAGGTGGGGCCTGGTGGGAGGTGACTGGATCATGGGGGCGGATTTCTCCTTTGGTGATGTTCTCGTGATAGTGAGTGAGTTATCATGAGATCTGGTTGTTTAAAAGTGTGTAGCACCTCCCCACACTTCCTCCTGTTCCAGCCATGTAGGTTGTGCCTACTTCCCCTTTAACTTCTGCCATGATTATAACTTTCCTGAGGCCTCCCCAGTCATGCTTTCTGTACTGCCTGAGGAACCATAAGCTGATTAAACCTCTTTTCTTTTTAAATTACCCAGTCTCAGTATTTCTTTATAGCAATGCCAGAACGGACTAATACACTCATATCCAGATTCACCCCATTACAATTCATTATCTATAGGTTGTCATGTTGGTTTTCCGAAATCACAATGCATGTCACCCTTCTGCTCAAAAACTTTTACTGGATGTCCTTCAGCAAAGAGAGTGTCATCTTTTTACTCTGACATTCGAGCCCTCTGCAGTACTATAGATCTGCCTTTCCAGTCCTCTCTCCTTACCTTTCCTGTGCTTTGGCTAAACTAGATAATCCAGTGTCCTTACAACACACCCAACTATCATTCTTTACTCGTCTTCTTCCTAGACCACCCTCTCTCTCATCTGTTTATTAAAGTCAATGTATATTCGAGATCCATTTCAATCTTTTCTATAAAAATCCCCTGATTCACAACTTTCCTCTTTTAAATCCCTCATAGTACTTTGGTTATATCCACCATGAGAAAACACGTTTCACCTTTGACAGATAAATGGGCAGACAGACCTCCAGGAACTGCATCTTATTGATCTCTGTCTCCTCTATAGAGCCACTGCACAGTGCCTTACACATAGAGGTGTTTTATCAATGCACACTGAACCAGACACGTAGCCCTGCCTCCATTCTTTCTTCTTGCCATAACGTCATTTTAATAATCATCTAATGATAATGGCAGCTTTTCTCTACAGGACATTAAAGGTTGCAGAACTCTCATATATGTTATTTCAACTGATTTTCATGAAAAGTCCTGCAAGGCAGGCAGGATAGATATTATCTCCATTTCATAGGTAAGAGAACTGAGGCTTGCAGAGGTGAAATAAGTTGCACTGAGTACAAGCAAATAAAAAATGTAGCTATTAATTGAACCAGAGAAGTATCCAGATATGCAGTAGAAGACCTAAGAAGGGAGCAGGCAAAGTCCAAGTCCCCACAAGGATCCCTTGTTCTTCAAACTTTATTCAGTACAACAAAGACATTCTGAGCTCATCAGGGGCCCTTTGTATGAGGGACACTGGTCAAGGAACTGGGCAGTGGGTACCATGTGACTGCACAATCATTTTGGATTTGTGGCTATTTTTTTTTCTTTTCAGCACTAGATAGATATCAACAAATAAGCACTGGGAATCTTGGACTCCCTCTTTCCCTCCAAATTAAGCCACAATTCCAGGCCTCCTTTCAGTTTGAACACTCACTAAATTTTTGCTGCTTATAGCTCATCAGGGAAACTCTTGCAGAACTATTCCTGGAACTATTCCATGTGGTGCCTTGGGATTTGAGTCTAATTTCCATGTTTCTCTCACTCTCAAAACTGACCCCTCATTTATCCACTCATTTATTCGCTCACCCACCCATCCATCCATCCATCCATCCATCCATTATCCAACAGACTTTCCTTGAGTACCAGATTCATACACTACCGTATTATAGCTCCATAGACTCTTTCTCACTCTTCAGTTCAGTACAGAAGAATATTGTTAAGGCTATGTGTTTCCTTTTCCAGGTAACGCCTGTGCATTTTAACAGTGGGCTTCACCAAGAGAATGTGAAGCTTTATGAAAGAATGGTGGAGGTTGAAGGATTTTTGAATTAAAAAAGGAGGTCTTTTCCAAATAGACCTCATGTAGGATTTGGGAGGTGGTGACCTCCAATTTCTTATTGCCCCCAAGTTACACTCTTCTTTGCTCTTCAGTGTCATGGAAAAGAATGCGCTGTTTTATATCTACCCTTGTCAGTAATATGAGTGCAAGTTTTGTTGCACAGGTTTTTTGCAGCTTTCTCTTTCTAGAGCTCAGCTTGGAGGCTCTGACTGGATATTGCCAGTGTTTAAAATCAGAGTTTGAAGTGAGTGGATGTGGCAGGAGAAACCCTTGGGTTTTTACTACACTTGGGATTGTTGGATATTATATTTGGAAAAATAAGGATGCTTAAGAGCCTAAAGAGCATACATGTATGCTGGGTCACAGAATTGTTAGGAATCTACATCTCCACCCCTCCTCTCCCAATCATACTTTCTTGGCCTTGAATGGATCCTGGCAGAGCTCCAGGGAGACATCTGGGGTCCGTATTGCCATGAAGCCCCTGGGGCTAGGACTCCCTAGCCATTCCTTCTCCACTCCTGGCAGGCTGAGTGAAATAAAGGACTTGTTATTTCATCTCGAGGCCTACCGGAGAGCCTTGCCTTGCAAAGGCAGACAGTCAGTGAGGAAGACTATGTGGCACATGAAGACACCAGAGGTGTTCCTCAGGATCAAAGTATGTACAAGCCTTTGTGAATATTTTTTCCTTCTCACTTGGCAAATACAATTCCTGAGATCAATAACCTCGTCTTTTTAATTTTTTCCTCGTCTTTTTAACTATTTATAAAATATTGAATTATAAAATATGTAATTATAAATACTTTAATTATAAAATATGTAATTATAAATACTTTAATTATAAAATATGTAATTATAAATACTTTATAAAATATGTAATTATAAAATATGTAATTATAAACATTTTAATTATAAAATATGTAATTATAAACATTTTAATTATAAAATATGTAATTATAAACATTTTAATTATAAAATATGTAATTATAAACATTTTAATTATAAAATATGTAATTATAAACATTTTAATTATAAAATATTTAATTATAAACATTTTAATTATAAAATATTTAATTATAAATATTTTAATTATAAAATATTTAATTATAAATATTTTAATTATAAAATATTTAATTATAAATATTTTAATTATAAAATATTTAATTATAAATACTTTAATTATAAAATATTTAATTATAAATATTTTAATTATAAAATATTTAATTATAAATATTTTAATTATAAATATTTTAATTATAAAATATTTAATTATAAAAACACAATTACCTCATCTTTTTAAATATTTTTGCAAAATATTTCCCTCCATAATTTCTCCGTTTCCATTTTTATTCTGTTACTTAAATCACACTATGTGTTCTAGAGGTTTTGCTGTGCCAGAACATTTTATCAATGCCCTCGTTTCACTGTCTTTCAATACAAATGAGCCACATTCAGTGGTATGATACACAATAAAGACTCCATTTATTTGTTCCTCCTCCCCCAAGTTTAGCAAAATAACTCAGATCCTGATTTTCTTTAACTTGCAAAAAATGCCATCCTTCTGAGTTCAGAGACCTTCCGAGCCCTGGTGCCAGCTTTGGTGCAGGTCCAGTTCATATGTGCTTCTGCTTATAGTCTACTGCCTACTGCAAGGCTGGCTCACTGTATGGTTTTATCAATATAGGCAGTTTGAATTTTTTCTGTGCTATGTGAAAGTTCAATTGGAAAAGAAGAATAAATGAAG
This sequence comes from Homo sapiens, assembly GCF_000001405.40. Lineage (NCBI taxonomy): Eukaryota > Metazoa > Chordata > Mammalia > Primates > Hominidae > Homo > Homo sapiens. Next base: position 21,001,715 of record NC_000002.12, read on the forward strand.
ATTTCTTTTAAAAAATTAGAGGATGATAGTAAGTTCTCCTGGAGCAAGCTTCATGTAGGGGTTCATGACTGTGGTTGATTGCAGCTTTTTCAGTAACTCCGTGATGTATATCAGAAATGTGTGGTAGTTTTGAATGGACAGGTCAATCAATCTTTTGGATTCAGCAATAAATTTTTCATAGTAATCAGAGAGTTGGTCTGAAAAATCTTGCAGTTTATATCTAAACTGCTGGTGGTAATCAGAAATTATTTTCTTCGTCGCAATGGCCTGGCTTTTAATTATTTCCTGAGCAGTGGCAGAAAGCTCTGCAATCTTCTCTTTCCCTTTTCCATCTGGATCGGTAAGGATGCTAAGATATTCCTGAATATTTCTGTGCAGAAATTGCTCAACTTGACTTGAGAGTTGGGAAGTAAAGTTAGAGGCACTGACAATATATTCAGAATGGAAGTCCTTAAGAGCAACTAACAGGTTCTTGATCAGACTGACTATCTTTTCTTCAAGTTCATAATATTTCACTGTCCAGCCAACTATACTTGGATCAAAATATTCTTCACGAAGGGCCATAATGTATTGATGGATCTGCTGTAACTCTTGAGAAGCTTCCTGAAGCTCGTTTTGAATAAATTCATTGAACTTATGAAGATTAAGGCATAGGTTTTCTTTCAACAATTTAAAAACATATGGGATATAATCACTGAAGATTGTGTTGATCTCATCTTGGATATAATTAATAAGATAAGTAAATTTCATCTCTTTCAGCTGTTTAATGTTATCTTCTATTAGTTGGAAAATGAATTGTAAAAGGTCCTGAAGATTACGTAGCACCTCTGTGGTCTTGAGAGACTGAATGGCTTTAAATACCTCTTGGGCTTCTTTTGATAAATCTTTCAACAGTTCCCTATACATCGAGATTACATCTATTAGTTTATGTTTCCTTAACTCGAAAGGAAGTGTAATCACTAGGTCTTGGAAATAGGAAAACAGTATTTCTGAACCATTATGGACTTTCGAATATACCTGGGACAGTACCGTCCCTACCTCCCTTATGAACATAGTGCAAAGTTCCTCCCTAGTGTATATCCCAGGTTTCCCCGGAAACTGGAATCTGGGGAAGTTCAGAAAATCAATGAGTGAGTCAATCAGATGCTTGACTTTCATATGGAATTCTTGAGTAACTCGTACCAAGCCATCAAACACGTTATCCTTGAGTCCCTGGAAACTGGCTTGGCCTTCCTGAGTCAACAGTTCCTGGTACAGATTCTGGGCCTTGTCCTTCCACTCTTGGTAGGTCCCAGTGGTGCCACTGGCTGCTTTCTGGAACCTCACGTCGATATCATCAATTTGCCTAATGGCCCCTTGATAAACCCACTCAGCATTGTTCTGCAGATTTCTTCTCAGCTTTGAAGACACTTCTCTCAGGGTGAGCCCTGTGTGTTCCCAGTGGTACTTGTTGACATAATCATAAAGGACCCCTGTGGCCTTGGGCACGTTGTCTTTCAGAGAGGTTAGCAAGCCAGAAGCTGCCTCTTCTTCCCAATTAACTTTGATCTGAGTTTCCTCATCAGATTCCCGGACCCTCAACTCAGTTTTGAATATGGTGAGTTTTTTATCTGGAGAGGACTAAACAGAGAGAAAAAAAAAAATAACATGTTTTCAATTACTCCAATTACACAATATAGTACACTAAAACTTCATTAGCAGTTAAAAATAAAGATCAGAGAATCTTTCATATACTGAAAGGGATTTATCTTTCATATGTCAGTTCATGTGTTTGTTTTATGGTTAAATAAGTCTACTGTTGTTAATTTCTCTTTATCACATGCCCCAGAAAGGATTTAACAAAAACGCTTGCTGTTTGTCATTTACATTGTGACACTTAAAATTAAAGCCTTCCTAGGACTGAAAACTGGAAGAGGAGTGGGGGGAAGAGAAAGAAGAGGAGAGAGAAGAAGAGTCAGGAAATGACAGATAGGAAAAGAAGAAATAGCAAAAAAGGCAAGTTGGAGCCCACCCTGCAGAGACCCAGAATCCCAACATCAGTACGCATTCTCCAAGCCCATGACAAACTTTTAGTAACAGTCATAGAACCATGTTTGGTCTTCTCCTCTGGTAATGTCACCCTTGATTTGGCCCTGGCAGAGCTTGTAAATGACATGAGAGGAATTTGATGTATCTCATCTAGCAATTCTATTGTGGGGAAGAATTTTAAAGTTTTAAATACTACAGAAACCAGTCCTCTCTGAAAAATATACCCTGCCTATGGCTGAGCTTGCCTATGATTTAGATGATGAGGTATAACCCTCATCTTCCTGGATTTGCCCAGAATTAATAAATAATAGTGCTGATGGGATGTCATGTGTGCATCTAAACATTAAAATCAATCAAGGACTCATTGTAATACTTTCTAGAGAATATTTCCTCAGAGAAGAAGTTGCTTACCGCCTGTCTTTCACCTAGTTTGGGGAATCTCTGAATATTTGGTCCTGAATTAAATGTATCTGCCCCAATTCTCCACTCGCTCTTGGGGGCGTGTCACTCATTAGGTGGTATTTACCTGAGGGCTGTAGTAGAAGTTCCATTTAGAAAAGTCGTCATCTTCATCCATATCCATGCCCACGGTGCCTACGGCTGGGGAGGCTGCTGAGGTGGAGATGCCTTTCTTGTCTTTCTGGTAGCGCAGATGGAGATCGGTGAACGCTGGGCTTTTGATATTGAGGTGCGCTTTTCCTTCCCATTCCCTGAAAGCAGAAAAACAGATGAGCTATCACGAAAGGGGTATGGAGATGAAGAAAATCACAATGAGTTTTCAAAAGGTATAAGGTTTCAATTCAATAAAAGCTCCATACTGAAGTCCTTCATATTTGCCATCTTCTTCATATTCTGCACTGAAGTCACGGTGTGCAAATGTTCCTTTAGTCTTAGAGGCTAACGTACCATCTTCGATTTTGTGTGTTCCCAAAACTGTATAGGAGAGATTTTGTATTTTATTAGATTCATAACAGTAGGACGTTGATGTTTTCATTGTGAAAACTGGGAGAATTCTATCCTAACCAGATATTTCACTTGTGTTTAAAATATGCAATGTACAGCTCACACTTATTTTAAAATAAATAGTTAAAAGACATTGTTAGTCCTAAAATAATTACAGAAAAATCCATTTTCTTTAAAGCTGTTTGTCTTGAATGACACTAGATTTTCTACAGTTTGGTTTTTACGTGTAGGGTATACATGTATCTCTTTTCTTACTTAAAATTTTGTGACATTGAGTAATTGTACATCTACTCACAACTAAATACATAATTATTTACTCATAACTCTCATTGAAAATATACAGTATCTAGGAGAGGAGGCAGGATATTTCTTACCATTTAGTTCATATTCTAGGAACTGTACGGTTGAGCTGCATGTGGAATCCAGGACTGTTTCAACATAATCTGCTTTGTTTTTCAAACTGGCACTCCAAGTGGCATTATACACGGGAGAGTCTACCTCAAAGCGTGCAGTCAGTGCTTGAAAGGAAGGAATGACAATTCCAGCAGGTACAGAGAACTTAATGGAGGGAATCTCAATGGTCTGCTCAGGCACGATGATGGTGGGCAACTCAAAGTCTGCGATCTTGTTGGCTACTGCATTTAGATCCAAAGCAGCAATGCCATCTGAAACACTTTTTGGAAGCGTGAACTGGGACACAGTTAACTGAGATTCAGGCACGGTTATCTCAAAAAAGGGAATCAAGGAGTCTTCTGGTTGAGAATATTTTGTTAACACATCAACTTCAGGGAATTTTACCTCGGGGAGTGTTGGTAGGTTGAGGGCAAATGATGAAGTTCTCAGCTTCTTATAGATTTGTATTTCTCTGAAGTCAAGTTTGCACGATGGAACCTGAAGATCTGTAAATGGGACATGGAACGTAGGCATGACAAGAACTGAATTTAGATCATTTAGTTTCAGCCCAGGAATAATGAATTTATCAGCCAAAACTTTTACAGGGATGGAGAATGAATAGCCATTGGGGTTTTTGGTGTACACAAAGGCAGTTGAAACACGAAGATGCTGTCTCCTACCAATGCTGGTGGTTACATCCAGCTTTAGGAAATCCCATAAGCTCTTGTCATAGACTGGTAGGATGATATTTTTGAGGAACCTTAGGTGTCCTTCTAAGGATCCTGCAATGTCAAGGTGTGCCTTTTCTTGGTCATTGGAAAGCTCGACCTGGCTCTGGAAAGACCCAGAATGAATCCGGACTTCATTTTTCCATCTGATCTTCTGGTTCTTAGTGTTAGCATTCAGGGCCACTTCCTGGCCAAGGTCAGGGAAATCATGGAAGGAACTGGGCTGACTTGCATGGACCTGAACAAGAGCTGACATTTGCCATGGAGAGAGTTCCAGGGTGGCTTTGCTTGTATGTTCTCCGTTGGTGAAAAAGAGGCCCTCTAGCTGTAAGTGGTTTTTCGTACTGTGCTCCCAGAGGGAATATATGCGTTGGAGTGTGGCTTCTCCAGCAAAATTTTCTTTTACTTCAAGGTTCCAGATATCATCAATTTTGGAAGTGCCCTGCAGCTTCACTGAAGACCGTGTGCTCTTGGAATTCAAGTAAGTGTTGGCCTCACTAGCAATAGTTCCTGAATATTCCCGAGAAAGAACCGAACCCTTGACATCTCCTTTGGTAGATGACTCAATGGAAAAGTAAGAGGTGAGGCTTTCCAAGCTAAGCTTGTGGTCAACTGCTCCTTTAGCGGTAGAGTACAGCATTGAAGAATTGAAATCATACTTAAATTCCATGGAGGAAGAGACAGTAGGTTTTGACTTGGTATTTCCATTAAGTTCTTGCTTGAAATTCATTCTCAAAATTGGAATTTGGGCTTTTGTGGTTGTTGCCACTGACACTTCCATATTTTTCGTGGTTAAGCTCACAGTACTGTTATGACTACCCTCCACAAATTTGTTGCTCAGAGACAGAGCTGTGGCTAACTTCAATCCCCTTTTTCTTGTCAATCTTGTGGTGCCCTCTAATTTGTACTGCAGTGCATCAATGACAGATGAAGATGAAGAAAGGAGATGAGCAACAATATCTGACTGGTTAAAAAGTTCAGCATTGGTATTCAGTGTGATGACACTTGATTTAAAGGAGAAATCATAGGTAATATTGCCCATGGCAGGAATAAAAATATGGCTTATGGTACACAATTCCTTGAAATCTGGAAGAGAAAGCTTGAGATTTCTAGGGACATGAAGGACTGGCAGCTCTAATGATGGCAGGATTAATGTGTATGAAGGCACACGGACGTCAGAACCTAGGATGGAGAAACTAGGCATGCTGACTGCTTTTGGGAACACATAGCCGAATGCCGACATCTCTATGGTGAATGGAGACACTTCAACATTGACAACTGGAACAGTGTATCCAGGAATTTGAAAGGTCCTGGGGAGCTCGTCGTGAGATTTTTCAGCTTTGTACTTATCAAACTTAATTTTTGTTTCATTATAGGATTTGGTGACAAAATCTAATGCATTGTTTCTGTTTTTTTCAAAATGCCTGTCAAAGGATTTGATGCTCTGACTGATAAACTCACAAAGCACAGCCAAAGGATTTGTGATGGAATGCCTGTGTTTGTTTTTCTTATACTGAGCTTTTACACTTAAATCAAATGATTGCTTTGTCGTTTTCAAGAATTCCTTCAAGCCTGTTTTTTCCCATAGAGAGAAATCTTTCAGTGGAGGAGTTGTGATTATTGTGTAAGGTAGACGCATTTCAGGAATTGTTAAAGGAATGTTTAAGAAATCCAGATTTGCTTCTCCATTTATTCCTACATGGGCCTCCATAATGTTCTCGTTGTTTCCAGCAGAGAAATTTTGGTTGTACTTATACTGATTGAACCTAGCACTTACTTGCCAACTTGCTTGCTGGGCACTGGGACTCAGAAACAGTGCATAGTTATTCAGGAAGTCTATCTTCCCTGTTAACCTTAATGGAAAACGAACTTTCAAATTCCCTTCATTGTTTGTGGATGCCGTGATCTCAAATGGCTGGGCTGAAAAGAAAAGAGAATTTTTCAAAGTTCCAATAACCTTTCCATTTAAATGAGCATCATGCCTCCCAGTAAACTCTGCCTTCCCTTCTCCAAACAGTGCCATGCCTTTAGCAGTTAGAACACTGTGGCCCACATGCTGGGAATCGACTTGTGATTGAATTTCAAGTTTAGAAAAGTTGAGGGAGCCAGATTCATAAACCAAGTTTTGGTTTACTCTTAGGTGTTTGCTATTGATCTTATTGGACAGTCCAAAGGAAGTGAGGGGTCCTTCTATGGTGAAACTAATTTGTGATTCATGTGTTCCCTCATCTGAGAATCTGGGGCAGGCCCATTTCCATGACCCTTTTCCAGAAGAAGTCCATGCTATGTGGCCAGCTTTCAACAGTGTCTTGATCTCGTTGCGCAGGTCAGCCTGACTAGAGAAGTCCAGTTTGGGGATGTTCAATTTGTGGAAGTATTTAGTGTTGCTATCCAGGGTAAGCTGATTGTTTATCTTGACAATCACTCCATTACTAAGCTCCAGTGTATTTTTTTCTGTGTGTAAACTTGCCACTGTGTTTGATTTTCCCTCAATAGCATTTCCAAAAAACAGCATTTCACTCCCATGCTCCGTTCTCAGGTACTTGCTGGAGAACTTCACTGACTCCTTCAGAGCCAGCGGATTAATCTTAGGGTTTGAGAGTTGTGCATTTGCTTGAAAATCAAAATTGAGAACTTCTAATTTGGACTCTCCTTTGGCAGTGATGGAAGCTGCGATACCTGCTTCGTTTGCTGAGGTGGTTCCATTCCCTATGTCAGCATTTGCATCTAATGTGAAAAGAGGAGATTGGATTTTCAGAATACTGTATAGCTTGCCAAAAGTAGGTACTTCAATTGTGTGTGAGATGTGGGGAAGCTGGAATTCTGGTATGTGAAGGTCAGGAACTTGAAAATCATTAAGGTTGAGAGTTGGGATTATGAATTCTGGAATTGCGATTTCTGGTAAACGGAAGTCTGGCAGGGTGATTCTCGCTAGAGGAATGTCCTCCACCTTCAGATCCCTGAGATATATATCTGGAACGGGCCACTGCAGCTCACTGTTCAGCATCTGGTCAATGGTTCTGATGATCTTTACTTTCATTTCTACAAAGTCAATTGTAAAGGAAGGAATGTGGAAGGTGTTAAGGATGGTAAATTCTGGTGTGGAAAACCTGGATGGGATTTTTATATTTTTTAAGTCTTTGAAGTTTATCTGAACTGATGGAATCCTCAAATCTGTTAGGGGGACTATAAAATCAGGTGTCTGGAAGGTAGCTTTCTGAAGAGCCTGAAGACTGACTTCAAAGGCAGGCATGGTCCCAAGGATGGTCTTGATTTCAGGAACAGTGAACCCTTGCTCTACCAATGCTTTCATACGTTTAGCCCAATCTTGGATAGAATATTGCTCTGCAAAGTCAGTAAGGTTCTTAGCAGCAAGAGTCCACCAATCAGAAATGTAGGTGACAAGTGTGCTATAAACCTGGCCTACCAGAGACAGGTATCGTTGAAGTTCCTGCTGAATGTCCATTTGATACATTCGGTCTCGTGTATCTTCTAGGGTCTCTCGGAATTTGGCCTTCATGTGAGCCAAAGATGCTGAACTTAAAGCCTCCTGTAACCAATTGATGATTAAGGTTATTTTGGTGTCCTGTAGGCTTTCCAGATACACTGCAACTGTGGCCTTGGTTTCCTCTAAAAACAGTTTTAATGCTTCAGCTTTTTGTGGTAGTTCCAGAGCCTGAATTTCACCATTGAGTCTCTGAGTCACCTCACGGATTTTGTCATTGGTTTCATCTACAAACTGGTGGTAATCAAATGACTTTAATTTCTTTATCAACATGTCAAGGAATTTGTTAACATCTTCAATGAATGTTTTAAAAGATAATTCATTAAGCTTCTTGACAGCATCATCAATAAATCCAACCAATTTCTCAAAGTAATCTTTTATCTTAACTTGTTGTAGGACATTGCTTAGCTTCTGAATAGTCTCCTTCAACTTGTATTGGTGGGCCAACTCTACTAATTTATCCATTAAAACCTGGATTTGTTGGTCTACTTCATACCTCTCGATTAACTCATGGACTTTGGCTCTGAAGGCATTGATTTTCTCAGCTACTTCAAAATCCCCAATAAGATTTATAACAAAGTGTTTGACATGCTCAAGAATGTCATTTATTCTTTCAAATGAAATTGTAGTTCCCAATTGATCTAAAAGCACTCTAACATCAATAGCCTCAATGTGTTGTTTTAACTTTCCAGCTAGGTGCTGGATGTCTATATTCTGTATGTGTCTCTTAAGCTGCTGCAGTTTTTCTTGTATCTGGATTCTGATTTGGTACTTAGTATCCACATTTTGAATCCAGGATGCAGTACTACTTCCACTTTTGTTAAAATCAATATTTTCAATAAACAAATGTAGATCATGGATTGTTTTTACTAAATTTACACGGATATGATAGTGCTCATCAAGACTTTTTAATTTTTCAATGATTTCATCAATAATATTAGCAATAGCTATTTTCAAATCATGTAAATCATAACTATCTTTAATATACTGATCAAATTGTATCATATATGTCTGCAGTTGAGATAGTTTTTCATTAAAGTTGATTTTGGCATCATCTAATGCAATTTGTATATCATTTTCTGTAATTCTATACTTTTTTGTGAGAGCAGTCAGTTTCTCCTTGGCATGTGAAACTTGTCTCTCCCAATTGAATGAATTCAGATAATCATTAGCTTGCTGTGGGAGTTTTCCCAGGGCTGCTCTGTATTTTCTTACAAATTGATCAATATTGATGTGCTTCAGGTTTCTCTGTACGTTTTCCAGTACAACTATAATGGTTTGTCGATTCCTCTCAAAATATTCTTGCAAGGTCTCAAAAAATGGGAGGTTAATGGAGTGAACATCTTGGTTTTTATCATACTTTACAAAAGCAACAATTGTAAATTCTTGGGGCTTCTCAACGGCATCTCTCATCTCTAAAGCATCAATGATATTGATGGGCTCACTGAGTAAAAGTGGCACTTTAATTGGGGAGTCTAGTAGAGTTAGGTCAGCCAGAGTTCGTCCAGTAAGCTCCACGCCAATTTTATCTTTAGTGTTGTAAGCATCCAAGTCCTGGCTGTATTCATTGTTGTTAAATTGGGTCTTGAGTTTCCAGGTGCCTGTCTGCTCAGCTGGAGTAAGCAGGGCACTGACTTTGTGTTCAAGAGCTGCACTGATGCTTTTCCTAGACACGAGATGATGACTTGTGGAGCCTTTGTAATCATGAGAGAAAGTAAATGCCAGAGGTTCTGCTTTCAACAGGAATTTGCTATACAGCTGCCCAGTATGTTCTCCCCAGAGAGCGAGTTTCCCATTGCCATTTGTATGTGCATCGATGGTCATGGTAAACGGGGCCATTACAGAACGGAAGACATTGCTGAAATGCAGTGAGTCTGAATTATAGTTTGTGCTCATGTCAATGGCTGAAGCCAGCCCAGCGATGTCTGTGTTGAGCCGATGGCTAAACTCCACACCCTGAACCTTAGCAACAGTGTCTGCTTTATAGCTTGCTGATAAGGCAGCAGAAGAGATGGCATAGATGTGTTTTATTTCATTATTTTGGTAGGCTCCTTTTAGGTTACCAGCCACATGCAGCTTCAGGGGTTCTAGCCGTAGTTTCCCATTGTTGGTGAGATCCAGAGCATTGTATTTCAGGTCACTGTTTAAAGTAGTTACCAGAGAATAGGGCTGTAGCTGTAAATTAACAGTTTGCTTATAAAACTTGTCAGAGCTGTAAATGTTGTCAAGTTTTGAAGAGAAGTCCAGTGATAAGCCTGCAATGTTCAGACTGTTTGTGTGGTCAAATTTCATTTCAGCATATGAGCCCATCATGTCATTTGAGAGCTTAAGTCCTTCTTGACTGACCTTGAAGTTGAAAATGTTTTTGCTGTCGACACCCAGAATCATGGCCTGATAAGCACTTCCCAGTGATAGCTCTGTGAGGGCGGCTTTCCCATCCAGACTGAATTTTGCATTGTGTTCCCTGAAGCGGCCATTTGTTGTTAATTTCATAGATGCCCCAGAGAGGCCAAGCTCTGCATTCAGCTCATTCTCCAGCACCAGGAGACTACACTTCAAGTTGGTCGTTGCACTGGTAGATATTCCATCTTGGCCAATCCTTAGTGTCGCCTTGTGAGCACCACTATTAATTTTGTCAGTGCCTAAGATGTCAGCATTTAACTCAAGACCATGGGAATTTAGTGATCCAGAAAGCAGGCTGAAGAACCTCAATGACTCGTAATCAGCCTGATATTCAGAACGCAGCAGTGCATTTTGCTTAGAGAAGGTCATATCCATCTTGTTAGAAGTGGCAAAGTTCTTATACTTCCCATTGGTGTCAGATTTTAAAGTCAGCTCGTAGTTCTCATACTTTAGGGAAGCAGTATTTTTAATGATGCCACTTTGCAGATCAGAGGTGGAGGTGAGGGAGAGGGTTCCATCTTCATATCTTCCTGTTATCTGGTTGGTGCCTTGGAGGTAGGAGGAGTTAAACCTCAGGTTGGACTCTCCATTGAGCCGGCCAGTGTTAGGATCCCTCTGACAAGACAGGCCATATGTGCCTTTAGCATAGAACGAAGAGACTCTGAACTGCCCATCAATCTTGACTTCTTTGACAAACAAATGCTGTTTCTTTTTGGAGTCCAAATGAACTGAAGCAGACATCTGTGGTCCCCAGGAACTAGATGCATCGAATATTAGTAAACCTTTTGAGACTGGGTTGTTTCCAAGTTTTTCTACATGACTGAATTTGATATTCGAATCTAGAAATTTGTGGCGTAGAGACCCATCACATGATAGTGTGAACGTATTCTTGTGGTCATATGTTGTTTCTCCAGATCCTAACATAAAAATGAAAAGACATTGGTTAAATTAAGCAGTACATTTCCAGAGCAATCTCTATGTTGAAAGTCTTTCAATAATAAAGCCCCATTTTTCTGGGCCAATTGTGCAATAGACTCCTCCATCTGTAATGCAAAGATAAAATCTGATAGCAAAAGGCATTCCTCCAGGAAGCCTTGCCTGACCACCACAGGCTTTGTTTAGGTTCCCTTGTTGAGTGCTTCCACTCTACCTTATACTTATATACTACACTTTATCATAGCACCTCTCACACTGAATTATAATTGCTGGCTTATCTGTCTACTTTCTGTTACTGCCTACTAGAATATTTAATACACGTGATATGTTTAATAAATATTTCTATTTGTTGAATAAAATAAAAGACTTCCAAGTAGCAAGGAAGATTATCTGCTAGAAAGCCAAAGTCCTTTCCTCCCTGGAGGAGGCTCTCCTCTTAGAGCCTGCCATGAACTAGCCCGGTGCACCCTTTACCTGAGCATAGCTCACCTTGCACATTGTAGGAAAGCAGGTCAACCACAGAGTCAGCCTTCATGTGGTAACGAGCCCGAAGGCTGAAATGGTCTGTGCTGGTGTTGCCACCACTGTAGGAGGCGGACCAGTTGTACAAGTTGCTGTAGACATTCGTGGAGAGGTCTAGAACACCCAGGAGAGGCACTTGCAGTTGATACAACTTGGGAATGGTAAAAGTAGGGACTTGGAACTCTCGAGATGGCAGATGGAATCCCACAGACTTGAAGTGGAGGGCTGGTGTCCTAACAGTCTCTAACATCTTTAGATCTCTGGAGGATTTGCCACCAAAAGGCAAAGGAATCTCAATTTTCAAACTGTTCTTGTTCAAGGTATATTTGACCCGGCCATCGCTGAAATGAACAACAAAGATAACATCCCCACAGTCAGACATCAGTCATTCAAAGTTCTCTGCCTCTGACCTTCACAACAATATTGTACTTGCCCCATTCCCAAAGCCACTCTGCACTTTTCTTTGTGCTACTCCTATGCCTGGACCCCTTTGCTTTTACCTCCACCTGTCAAACACTCAAATCCTGACAAAGCTCTTCTAAGGGCCACTCCTTATCATTACCATCCCACCTAAGTCATAGCCAATTTGTCTCATTCTTACAGTTACATAGTCCCTTGCACCTTTCTCAAAGAGCATGTCATAATTTTGCTTATATAATTAATTATTTCTCATTTGTTGATGTCTCCATGGTATCTTCTTGAAAGAAAAGGCTATACCTTACCCAGTTTCTATCTTCTCACTGTACCTAGTCTAGCATTTTGCACATAGGGGATACTTGATACAAATTTGCTAAACTGAATTGAGACAACTTGATTTGTGGAAAGAACATAGGTATGGAAGTCAGTAAGCCTGGGTTAAAGTATTTTCTCAGAATGCTGCCTCCATTTAGTGCTCAATGGCTGTTCTGACTCTCTCTAGCTTAACAGCAAGCCTGTAGTCAATAACGCCTCTAGCCATTCTGAATTCTTCACAGTCAGAGGGAGAATTTGCTTATAACAGGTTGTACTGAATAAAATATCTTAGGGTGAAAGTACCAGAATCCTCTAATGACTTTCTTAGATTCTTCCTGACAGGGTTGGTGTTCTCATGTTTACTAATGCAAAGATGCCACAGTGTTTGTGCTATAGTTATTAATCTCCTTAAAATGCTTAAATTATTTCCTTTAAAAATTTAAAAAAATGTCTAAATCATGCTATGTAAAATCTTTCATTTACTTTGCATGGTTCAAGAAGCCTTGCTGCTTTCTTCTTTTACCTTTTTAAGAAGAGGTTTTCTGGGATGTGGAAGTCTGGCAATCCCATGTTCTGGAGGTTGAACTCCTTCAGGCTATTGAGGTGGTCTTGCAAAGTCTGGGTATAAGGAAGACTCCCAGATGCCTTCTGAAGCCATGAGCTCATTGCCTACAAAATGACAGGAGATTTTTAAGGTAATGGGCTTGGATGAGCCTCAAAGAGCAATGAACATTAGGCAAAAATACCGATTTGACAAGTTAATTATTAAGCTGGACAATGCACTGAAAGTTAAAAATAAATAACAGAAAATTATGAATCTTCGTTGCCAGTCACTGATCACTGTCCATATTTATAAAAGGAATGTCTAACATAGTCAGCCTCCTAGCTGGTGTCCTGAAGCTTCCTTTGATACCACTAGGCAAAGAACTGTTCTACTTAGTAGCATCTCTTTGATATGTATCACATTCAGCTTTGTGTAACTGGGTAACTACACACTTGTGAAAGTTTTTTTTTCTCCCCAAGAATTCCCTGGGGGGAAGGAAGCATGCCTTATACATCTTTGGAAACCTTCCTGCACCTAGCTCAGAGTTGAGGATGTAATTAGCACTTATATCCATGTATTTATTGACTGGCAGACTCATACTTACAACTATTAATTTGGAACCCACGTGCCGGAAAGTCATGTCTGTTTGAGGGACTCTGTGATCCAGGAGTCTATTAGCATACATATGCAAGCTCTTAGGATAATCGGAGAGATCCACAGGGAAATTGGAAGTCATTTTTTTGGTATCTACATTGGTGCCTGTGTTCCATTCAAATTCAATCTTCTCTTCATCTGAAAATACGTAGGAAATAGTTGTGAATGGTACTAGTTCAGCCTGTAACCACAGGTCTCAACACCTGCATTACTTTGGAAGTGCTCACACAGGGGAAGAGACACATACCATAATGCCATGCCACCCTCTTGGAAACTGTGGAGCCATAAGCTGTAGCAGATGAGTCCATTTGGAGAAGCAGTTTGGCAGGCGACCAGTGGGCGAGGATCTCACTTCTGGCTTCTGCTTGCAAACGGGGTATGGAAATAACACCCTTGATTTTTCTTTCTTCCTTTGTGTCACAACTATGGTAAAGAAAATCAGTTGGCACCAATGATTTTGTCCTTTCAATGGAGATATGCAGGATTAAACAGAAGTTCCATTTGTGGTGATCAAAACCAGATACAAGGATGGTTCAGAGAAACAGCCACAGATCAAACTCATCAACTTCTAAAGCCAACATTCAGCACAAATTAAGGACTTTGCAAACAGGTTTAGGAGAAAGAGAAGTTTTTTGAAAACTGTTTGAATCCTGCTCTGCTATTTACTAGCTCTGTGATTTTGACCAAATGATTTAACCCCTCTGAGCTACCATTTCCTTATCCATGAAACAGGAAAACTCACAGTGACCTCGCAGTTTATTGTGAGGACCGAGATAATTTCTTTAAAGCACCCAGCACTGTGCTTGATACATGAATAGTAAGTGCCTGATAAATGGTAGGAAAATCCAACTGGACATGCGCAGAGGGTTAAAATGTTGAGAGCTTGGCCGGGTGCAGTGGCTTACACCTGTAATCCCAGCACTTTGGGAGGCCAAGGCAGGTGGATCACGAGGTCAGGAGATCGAGACCATCCTGGTCAATATGGTGAAACCCTGTCTCTACTAAAAATATAAAAATTAGCTGGGTGTGGTGGCATGCACCTATAGTTCCAGCTCCTTGGGAGGCTTAAGCAGGAGAATCACTTGAACTCGGGAGGCGGAGGTTGCAGTGAGCCGAGATTGTGCCACTGCACTCCAGCCTGGTGACAGAGTGAGACTCCATCTCAAAAAAAAAAAAAATTGTTGAGGGCTCTCTCTGCCACTCTGATTGTAGACTAGGGGAGAACATGGCTTGGTCAGGTATGAAGTGGAAGAGGAATAATGAAAAGAACCACCCAGGCCTGCAGTGCAGGTCAGATGACCCTCGGCCTTCTTTACCTTAGGTGGCCCATGAGGGCGACCTCAGTAATTTTCTTGTTCTGAATGTCCAGGGTGAGTCTGTAAGACGTTTTGCCCTCAGTAGATTCATCATTAACTCTGAGGATTGTTCCGAGGTCAACATCAAAATCCGGAATTTGGACTTCACTGGACAAGGTCATACTCTGCCGATTATATTTGAATGTCATGGTAGCCTCAGTCTGCTTCGCACCTGGACGAGTGTATAAGAGAATCAAGAGATGTGTGGTAAGAAGCTATGTTTTGGGCCGGGTGCGGTGGCTCACACCTGTAATCCCAGCACTTTGGGAGGCCAAGGCGGGCAGATCATGAGGTCAGGAGATCAAGACCATTCTGGCTAACATGGTGAAACCCCGTCTCTACTAAAAATACAAAAAATTAGCCGGGCGCGTTGGTGGGTGCCTGTAGTCCCAGCTACTCAGGAGGCTGAGGCAGGAGAATGGCATGAACCCGGGAGGCGGGGCTTGCAGTGAGCCGAGATGGCACCACTGCACTGCAGCCTGGGCAAAAGAGCGAGACTCCATCTCAAAAAATAAATAAATAAATAAATAAATAAATAAACAAACAAATAAATAAATAAATAAATAAAGAAGCTATGTTTTGGAAGGAAAGAGAGGAAAAGGTAGAGAAACTCCAAGGAATCAATGTGCTTAAACAAAAACACAGTTCAGGATTTTACTGAATTTTTTTTTTCTCATTAAAATTTTTTAATGGGTCTCATTTACTGATAATTTTAAACTCAGTTGTGTTCATGTATGCAAGTCTTTATGGATTGCCTGTTATGAGCCTATTGTGTGCTGGGCACTGCTCTTGGTACTGGGGAATCCTTGCTTTCATGGGGCTTACCTTCTAGTGGGGGAGGTGTACAGGCAATAAACAAGTAACTTGCTCATGTCAGATGGTAATGAATGTTATGAAGAAGAGTAAAACTGGATACAAGGATAAAAGAAAGGGATAGAAGAAGTGTTATTTCATACTTGGTGGTCAGAGAAATTCTCTCTGATAAGGGCACATGTGGGCAGAGACCAGAATGAAAAGAGGTTGGAGCCACGCTGAGTTCTGGGAGGAGCACATTCCAGGCAGAAGGTCAGGAATGCAAAGGCCCTGAAATGGGGAGCACTTAGCTTGTTTGTGGAACAGCAAAGGCTCGCAGCCCTTCTGGGCCAGGAAGACACGACATCTCTATATTACTTTCTACCCAAGATGCCTGTCCTGGTTCCTTGCTGCCCTTGCCCTGGGCTCCATCTCCCCAACTCCCCCTTTCTTTGTAACAAGATTCCCGGGCGTCCTTCAATCCATAGGCTGGTCCATTTTATATCCTTCGTAAAACAATGTTTACCAAACACTATTTCCCCAGCGTGCCCTGCTCCTCCAGTGCTTTCTATCATGGGATTTTCTTCCTAGTTTAATTCTGTGATATGCTATCCCTATATAAAAATTTTTCCAAAGTGAACACCTAAATGTGCCCCATTCCCTAAAACCTGCTCCTCGCTATCCCTATATAATTTTTTTTCCAAAGTGAACACCTAAATTTCTCCCATTCCCTAAAACCTGCTCCTCCAGTAGCCCTTTCCATCTCAATAAATGGAAGTTCCATTTTTCAGTTGCCCGGGCCAAAAACCTTAGGTTTGTCTTCATTCCCCTTTTCCTCTTACACTCAACATCCACTGTATCAGCAAATCTTGTCAGCCTAATCTTCAAAATATGGCCAGAATCCATCCCCTTCTCATATCTCTTCTGCCATTGCCCTGATCCAAAACAACACTGATTCCTGCCTGGATTATTGTGATAACCTACATATTAGTTTCTCTGCCCTTGTCTGCCCATAGTCTTTTCTCAACATAAACATAAATCAAATCATGAGGACTCCCCAATGGCTTTCGTTTAATTCATAGAAAAAGCCAAAGTTCTTACCATGGCCTATGAGATTATCCTTCCTTCACCTCTCCATATCTCTCTGTCCTCATCTTCTACCTCTTTTCTCCCTGGTCTTTCTGCTCCAGCCATACTGTCTTCCTTCCTTTCCTTGAAACATGGTAGTAGTGTGTCAGCCTCAGGGCCTTTGCACTTGCTGGTCCCTCTGCCTGTTAACAGTCTTACCACACGGCTTCTCCTCTTATTTCTGATAGGTCTCCTTATGCTCACTTTACCAGGGAGACTTTCCCTTATTATTCCAAATGCACTGCTTTCCCTGCCCTTCTTCCTCCCTCCTACTCCTAGCCCTCCATAGACCAGTCTACGCTCTGTTTTCCTCCTCAGTACTTATCTGATATTCCAAATATTAACTTGTTTGGTTGTTCACTGTAACTTCCATGAAGGCAGAGACTCCATTGTTCACTGTTCTAGCCCCAGGTCTTAGAATAGGCCTGCCGCTTATTGGGTACTCAGTTAACCCAGGTCTTAGAATAGGCCTGCCGCTTAGTGGGTACTCAGTTAACCTATTTGTTAAATAGGTTAAATTACATGTCTTCTCCTCATGAATTCTGAACCTGAGACTGCGAGCAGAGATGAGGCAGCTGTGTTTTGAATACTCACCTTCTGCTTGAGTTACAAACTTCAGGGTATCCACCAAGGCTCTGTCCTCTCTCTGGAGCTCATAGGTTGCGCTGACAGAATACTGCTCAATCTCTCCTGTAGGCCTCAGTTCCAGCTCTAATCTAAAGACATTACAATGAAGACAGTGCATAATGTTAGAGCTTTCAAGGATGGTGATTATGTTCCCAAAACAATTCAGCCTCAAATGCAACAAAAATATGGTCCTTATTTTAACATTGTCTCTTGCCCTTAACTAAGATGATCTTTTTGATCCCTCAGTCCTACAAGAACCCAAGGCAAGGGCAGACACCAGGATTCCCAAGACTTTGGACAAGCAGAGCAGGAGTTGGCTGGTTGTTTCAGCAAAGCTGAGAACAAGCACTGGAACTTGGGGGCTGAAGACAGGGAGCCACCTAAGTACGGTGAAGGCTTCAAGCACATTGGTGGGCTCCAGGAAGCTCATAGCGATGGGTCTGGAGGCTCAGAAACATGGACACTGAATTAGGAGCAAATTGGGATCTGTGCTGTGATCCCATCCCATGCACAAGGAAGCAAAAGGTGACACCCAATGTGTTGGCCAGAGGACCCTGCTTTAAATACCCAAAGATGGTGCAAACCCAGAAGGCTAGTGACAGGGTCTTACAACACAGAGTATTTTTTCCTGTGCCATGCTAGGTGGCCATGATGTGGAAGGTGAGAAAATGCTGGGTCAGGCACTGAGCATCTCTAACCTGGTGTCCCCGGTCAGCGGATAGTAGGAGGCGGAGTCTGTGGAGCTGGCGTTGGAGTAAGCGCCTGAGGTGCAGTAATTCAGGCCAGGAAAGACTTGCTTGCAAACTGACCAGGACTGCCTGTTCTCAATGAGAGGTGGGATCACCTCCGTTTTGGTGGTAGAGACCAAATGTAATGTGTTGCTGGTGAAGAACAAAAATACCTGAGTTATTGCCAAGTCATGAATCAAAATGGACATCACAAATTCTCAGGGTGCAAATACCCCCTTATCCTCCTGTCTTCCCTCAGTCCACACCTATCTCTAACTATTTAATTTACTGAGAAACAAATAATATTAGAAAGAACATCAACATGACAAGCCATGAGAGTGACTCTGAAGCTTCTGGCTGAGTTCTTTCCATCTGTTACCTGTAATCCCCACAACAGTAGGCTTATGGTTCTCATTTTACAGAAGCAGAGGCTCAGAGATGTTAAATAGCTGATCACTGGGGCTGAACTTCAGTGTGCCCCTTCCTTCCTACAATGCAGGGCAAGAGAAACTGTCTCTTTCATATGAAATCTCCTACTCTCTACCTGCTTCCTTCCACCTGCATTAAGCACGCTCAAGTCTCTTCCCCTGTGCCCCTCCCCTATGCTCCTTTCTTTCTTTTCTTGCTTTCTCATCTTCCTCACCATCAAGAGTTGTCTGCCTTTGCAGTCTCTACTTCCTCCCAATGTGCTCTGACTGCTCACTCCATCTCCTGAAAATGCTTTCATCAATGTCTCTAATGCCCTCCTTGCTCCTACATCCAATGGGCATATTTAGGTTTCATCTTCCTTGACCTCCCAGAAGCCTTCCATAGAGTTGCGCACTCATGACCAGACTAAGACGCTGGAGCCTCTCACATCTGAAGAGATGATGGCACCTTCCTTCCAAGTGTGTACTTAAAAACTTAGTACATGTAAGAAAGTTCAACATTGGCCTGGTTTTTTCTAAGGATGCTTTCTTTGAAATAGCACATTTTCCTCCAAGTATTGTTTCTCCAAGTTGGGGGTGCCACAAGACCAAGCTTTGCTGATGTGCTGGAGTCCTAATGCCAGCTTTCGCCTACCCATGGGGTGATCTCCCCTGTGGCTGCTCTTTGGCTTCTGTGACCTTTTATGGCTTTGGTTCTCCTTCTGCTTCTCTGGTCACTTCTTCTAACTCATTGCTGGTTATTCCCCTTCTTCCTTTATATGTTTGTCTTCTCCATATTTCTGTCCTCATCTCTCATGTCTCACTCTATACCAGTTGCTGTTTAACCACAACAACCTCTGTATACTAATGATTCCCAAATCCATATGTGGAGCCCAAGCCTCTTTACTGGGCTCAGATCCATAGGTCTATTTGACAGCTAGATTTCTAAACTGGTTGTTTCATAGGAGGACATCAAATACAGCACATCCAAAACTGAATTTGTCACTTTCCTTGAAACCAGAAGCTCTCCCACTGTAGTTCTTATTAAAATGAAGGGCGCCTCCTTCCTCTTTTCTTCTTTCTTTTGCCTTGTCCCCATACCCAGTTAATCACCCAGTACTTATGATTCTGCCTCTTAGAAAGTTGTAGAATCTGCTCACTCCTTTCTATACCTGGCTTTTCTCCACTGCAGGCCATTATCAGCTCTTAGCCACATAGGATCGTAAGAGATGTCCAATGGTCTCTTCGTGTCCAGCTGTGCCTCCTTCTCACCCATCTTCCACACTAGAGTCAGAGTATTTCTTCTAAAACATCACCCCTATCTTATTTCTGCTCCCCTTTTCAACTCCTGTGCCTTCAAAAGAGTCCAAACTCCTTAGGATGGCTTTCGCAGCTGGGCATGCTCTCTCCCCTGCCTACCTCTCCCCATCATCTCTGAGCCCCTTACCATTCTGCACTTCTTCCAGTTCCTTGAACCATATTCCTTTACCTTCAGGCCATTACATGCTTTTCCTTTTGCCTGGAACACTCACTCCTTTCTCCTTTGCCTAAATGACTCTGACACAGTCCTCAGTTATCAGGTCAAGTACACTTGCTTCAGAATGCATTCCCTGACTAGCACAGGCTACATGATATAAAATTTCATGGTACTCTAATACTTTCTATAACTTAGCCCTTACTCTATGATTACTGCTTGCTTAATTGTGTGTCTCCCTTATAAAATGTAAGCGTTCAAAGGTCAGGGACCTTGTGTGTCTCACTCAACATACGTGGTATATATTAGGCAATTAAATATACTATTTTTTGTTTTTTGTGAGACAGGATCTTGCTCTGTCTCCCAGGCTGGAGTGCAGTGGTGCAAGCATGGTTCACTGAAGGCTTGAACTCTTGGGCTCAGTTGATCCTCCCATCTCAGCCTTCTGAGTAGCTGGAGCTACAGGCATGTGCCACCACGACTGGCTAATTTTGTTATTTATTTAATTTTTTTTGTAGAGATGGGGTTTTGCCATGTTGCCCAGGCTGGTATCCAAACACCAGGGCTCAAGCGATCCATCCACCTGGGGCTCCCAAAGTGCTAGGATTACAGGCATGAACCACCGTGGCTGGCCAATTAAATATTATTTTTGAATGAACACATGAATGTGTCTAAAATATGAAAACTAAGGCAAATCAATGGTTGAGGGTGCCACTTAAAATGGAACTCTCCAAAAGAGGCTGTATTCCATTATCACGAGGTTAGGAGTTTCATGCTTTACCTACCTAGCTACCTCAAATCAATATGTTCTTAGGTATTTTTTGGGGGGGAAAATATTAATTTTCCAAAGATGATCTCTCCAGAGCTATTGTTTCTTCATTCTCAAAACAAATAGATAACAAAAAATCACAACTTAATAAAAACTAATTAAGCAGTAGGTCTTAATAAGTCTCAAAGCAGAAAGATAAAGGACAGTTTAGTAAAATGTGAAAAGTAGAAGAAAGGTAATTATGTAGTTATGTAGTAAGTCTAGGCTAGAATTAAAATAGGTAACCCGGAATCTTTCCTTTCTACTCCTCTCCTGCTTCCTCAGGACCTGAATGATCTCAATCAACTGTTTAGCCTGGCAAAATTCTGCAGGTACATTCTCTGTTCTCTCTTTCAAACTGGCTAGGCAGACTTGGCTGAAAGAATTACCCTCCACTGAGCAGCTTGACTGGTCTCTTTGGGGAAGGAATGATAAACTTCAGCTTCCCAGCTTTTAGGGCAACATGAGCCTCCAGACCCGACTCGTGGAAGAAGTTGGTGTTCATCTGGACCCCACTCCTAGCGAAGTCCGGAATGATGATGCCCATATTTGTCACAAACTCCACAGACACGGAGGGTTTTGCCACCAGTTCAGCCTGCATCTATAAGTCAGAAAACAACCTATTCAGATTCATTAAATACTTCAGTCCCCTGTCAGTCAGATCAACCACCCTTTCTCACCTCCGGGCAAAGATTTCCTGGATAACTCAGACCTTTGGAAACATTACTGGGATTTGTTTGGAAGAAGGAAAGCGAGTTCTCAGTTCTCTAGAGTTGGAGTATACTACCCAGAACTAGAAAGCACCTGAGTTAACGTGAGGCAAAACCAGATTAAAAAGATGATAGGAATACTCATTTGTTGAGAGAACTGAGTTCTTGTCTTATGGCCATACCACTACTGGAGCTAGTGAGGTAGTGCATTCTGGTGGAAGCTTGAAGTTTTTCATAAAAAAATAATGAGGTGATTACAATGATGAAGCATTTTGTCTTGAAGTGGAAACACATTTTTAAATATGTTTTAACAAGAAATGCACCCTGGAAGAAAGTAATAACCTAAGAAATCAAAAGGCAAACAGAATCTTACGTTGGCTACTTCCAGTTTTACTCCAGCCTTGGCTCCGGGAGCAATGACTCCAGATGAAGATATTTGCAACTGTAATCCAGCTCCAGTGGGGAGTTCAAAGGCATTCTCCATGAAGATGTAGTGAAGAAAAAAGTCATTCTTTGAGCCCTTCCTGATGACCTCTCCAATCTGTAGACCCAACAAGGGAGAGCAAATAAAAGTAAGTCTTTTTAAAGTCGGTTTTGTTAATTACAACCTCCCATACATTGGAGAGTAATTCCTCTTTATCTGGAAAGGAAGGACTAGCATATTTTGATGAGCTGAATAGTTTGATAAATAAAGATCAAACTGATGTTTTTACCGTTTTCAGTGAATCAGGATATAAGAAATTTCACTAGATAGATATCATGTCATTTTCAAGTGGACTCAGAAGGCTCTTAAGAATATTGCTGGGCCTCAGAGCTTTATGGACTTTAAGTATCATATATGCCATGGCTTAATTCTGGTGTTCTGGAGTCTGACTGTAAGTGAAGGTGTACTTGAAATGTATTATATTATGATAAAATCAATTTTTTGAAACCAAAGGCCTATTGAGATGATGTACATATCAATTTGCATTGGGTTTTATTTTTTAAATAATATTTCAATAAAATAGCTTGAGACCTGTTTTCTTAAAGTCAACATTTTTTTAATCAAGCCATAGGAGTACATTTATATATTTCCTTTTATGAATTAATAATAAAAATTATAGCATATTTAGATAGTGAATTATAGTTTGCCAAATACTTTCTTTTATAATCATTGTATCATTTCAATCTTAAAAGGACCTTCAGGTCAGGTGCAGTGGCTCACACCTGTTATTCCAGCACTGTGGGAGGCCCAGGCTGGAGGATCACTTGAGGTCAGGAGTTCGAAACCAGCCTGACATGGTTGTCAACAGGCTTGTCTCTACTAAAGATACACAAATTAGCCGGGCATGCTGGTGCACGTCCACAGTCCCAGCTACTTGGGAGGCTGAGGCAGGAGAATTGCTTGAACCCGGAAGGCAGAGTTGCAGTGAGCCGAGATTGTATCACTGCACTCCAGCCTGGGAGCAAGACTCCATCTCAAAAAATTAAAAAAATAAAAATAAAAATAAAAGGACCTTCAGCAAAGGTAGAGGAAGGTATACCGAACATTGTTTTCCAGATGAATAAATTAATGCTCTTAAAAATACAGCTAACATTATGAATAGCTTAATTTCTAAATGTTAACATTTCCATGTGATCCAAGAGTCATCTTCAGTGAAATTCAAGGCAAACCTCCATCTCTGAAGAAAGTACAAGCATCTTTTCGGGCTTGTGCAGCTGGGATCGTAAGGGAGTCTGGGCGATCTAAAAAAAAACCAACGTCTGGTCTCATGGGCCCCCAGTGGGGCCTGCTGACTTACCATCTGGGGGATCCCCTGCAGAGTGCGGGCACCCATCAGAAGCAGCTTTCCCAGGAGCTGGAGGTCATGGAGACTGGCAAAACCAAGCTCCTCTCCCAAGATGCGGAGGTAGGCTCTGGCTTCCGGGACTTCTTTGGATTTCAAATCTTTAATCAGCTTCTCAACACTGAGCATTATTCCATTTACCATATCCTGAGAGTTTAGTAATAAAATGGCCAGTGAGATGTCAGCAATGTCAAACACCTTTCAGTTCCCAATGTGGGACCTGTCTGATGCAGCCAGGATGGGCCTAAAAAATGCTCCAGGTGAGGAACAGGGAGACACTGAAGTCCAGGCTAATTCCTCTAAGCAGAGATTAAAGAACTAAGGTCTTGTCAGGGATAGTGGCACTCCTAAAGCTATTCTTAATTAAAAAATCTGTAGACATAGTAAGATGTGGTGGGATGAGAGGAGGGGTCCCTATTCTCCAGTATGCCAGGATCCTCAAGATTAGAAGATCCTCTATCCCCCACCCGTTCCCTGCTTAGCCTTCTCTTCTTTGACCAGTGAAGACTACAAGGTGTTTCTTAAGAAAATGTAGCTGTTATATAAATTCACCAGAAGTTTGAAAAACACTTGATCCTAGACAAGTTCTTCTCAGAGAGAAGAAGAATCTCAGAGATGGATGCCCAGGCATTGGGAAAAAAAAAATGTGAAACTGACAGACTCAAAGCAGATCAAAGATCCTCGGCCTCAAGTGGGGGTCAGGAAATTAGAAGATGGAGCTCGTGCTCAACAGTGAGCCTGGAGGGGTAAATTACTGCCTTGCTCTGCAAAGTTGAATGTGCATACAAGTCACATGAGGTCTTGCTAAAATGCGCTTCTGATTCAGTAGATTGTGGGTGAAGCATGAGAAGCTGTATTTCTGACCAGACCACACTTTGGGTAGCAAAAAATTCAAGAATAAGCTCCAGATCATACAACCTATTTCCCTCCTTAAATGGGGGCTCATTGCTAGCTTCAAAGTGGAAGTTTGGTCTCATTTGCTAGTGCACTGATGGGAGTGAGAGCCAAAGACAGCAGTTAATAATAATGAAAATATTAATTTAGAACTCGTAATAGTGTCTGCTTATTGAACAACCAATGCCAGCATCAGGCACTGTGCTTGGCATTTTAGATGCCTTATTTCATTGTCTTTAAATAACCTTGTGAGGTTTGGACTGTTATTAGTAGTCTGGGATACAGACAGAAACAGATACACATAATATCAACCAACTTCCCCAAGTGCGCACAGCTTCAAGACAGGGAAGTTAGAATTAAATCTATGCCCAGAGTTCATACTTTTTTTTTTTTTAAGATACAGTCTCACACTGTCACCCGGGCTGGAGTGTAACGGCGTGATCTCGGCTCACTGCAACCTCCACCTCCCGGGTTCAAGCAATTCTCCTGTCTCAGCCTCCCGAGTAGCTAGGATTACAGGCACCCACTACCATGCCCAGCTAGTTTTTTTGTATTTTTAGTAGAGACGGGGTTTCAGTATGTTGGCCAGGCTGGTCTCAAATTCCTGACCTTGTGATCTGCCCACCTTGGCCTCCCAAAGTGCTGGGATTACAGGCATGAACCACCACACCCAGCCCAGAGTTCATACTCTTGTTATCCTAGAGTACTTATTGTGAGTCTGGTTTCTGGGCACACTGAATTCAGGAGATCTTTAACTGCAGAGGATACTGGCCCTTACCCCAGCAGGTCTGGTTGATAAAAACCATAGTTATCCCTTCAGTTAGATAGTATTTTGAGGACTTCCATGCTTAGAAAAGAATTGTTTTTGCATTGAGACCCAAAGCTTTCCTTAAGAAGATACTTCACAAATACACACCTGCTCATGTTTATCATCTTTGGTATAGCCAAAGTGGTCCACTAAGACCTTAGAGACACCATCAGGAACTTGACCATTAACCCAGTACAAAGCTTTGTTGACACTGTCTGGGAAAAATCCTTGCTTCCCAAAAAGAGCTTCCAATGTTGGCTCAAAGCCTTTTCCTTCCAAGCCAATCTGAGAAAGAAAATCAGACAAGAAAATGGCATCAGGTTTCTTTGTTGTATGCCAGCCTAGTAGTCCCCACTCTTGATGTCCATTTATCTAAACAAGTATTTGAATACCACAGGCCAGGAGCTGACCTTAGCATTTCACAGGAGCTGCTTTATTAAAATCTCACTAGAATCTTGACCTTATTACTTGCTTTTTTCTAGAAGAGGCAGCTAAGGTTCAGATAGGACAAATAATTCAACAAAGGATTCAGAGTTGGGAGTGATTTGAGATTTGAAGCAGATCTGACTAGGCAGCACATATGCTTCCTTGGCTTTGGGACTTAAAGACGAGACATTTGCATTTCAATTTTTTTTTTTTTTTTTTTTTTTGAGATGGAGTCTTGCTCTGTCGCCCAGGCTGGAGCGCAGTGGCGCAATCTCTCGGCTCACTGCAAGCTCAGCCTCCTGGGTTCACGCCATTCTCCTGCCTCATCCTCCCAAGTAGCTGGGACTACAGGTGCCTGCCACCACGCCCGGCTAATTTTTTGTATTTTTAGTAGAGATGGGCTTTCACCGTGTTAGCCAGGATGGTGTCGATATCCTGACCTCATGATCCACCCGCCTCGGCCTCCCAAAGTGCTGGGATTACAGGAGTGAGCCACCTCGCCAGGCCTGCATTTCTATTAATGTTAAGAAGTCATGCTTCAGGTGACCCCTAGCGGGGAGAGAGGAAGGCGGGGAAGGAGGGAAAGAAGAAAGCCTCAGAATCATGGTAGGAAGTGCCTGGTGGTTCTTAGTTTTCCTCTGGGTAGCTCCTGGCTCCCAGGGACTCTCTGTTTATGATGCTGTACAAAATGGGCTAGAGAACCTCAAACTCTTCACACTTACCTCGATGAGGTCAGCTGAAGCAAATCCAAAGGCAGTGAGGGTAGTTTTCAGCATGCTTTCTTTAGGAAGGTAGTTATTTGGATCAAATATAAGATTCCCTTCTATTTTGGCTGAGGCTGGGTCAAGTGATGGAAGAGAAACAGATTTGTAGAGTTGATAGTTCCGAGAGAATTTTCTGAAGTCCATGACAGTTGGAAGTTGAGATTCTTTCAGAGCTTCTTTCACTAACTTTTTCAGACTAGATAAGAAGAAGTATATTTTGAGCTGACACACCATGTTATTATCCTTTGACTCTTGCACCCCAAGTAAATATGGATTTCCAATCACTACCAAAATGTCTTGATTTCATTGACCCTAAGTCTTTGGGTCTAGATCTGCTACACATTTGCACAAGTGTTTGTTTCAGAAGCAAGGGCAGACAGTGGCTATGCCAAAACCTAGGGTTGGAATTCCAGCTCAGGGCCCTCAGTGGTATATGGGGTGAATAGCTCTTACTTACTCTTGGATATCCAATTCTTCTGAGTTCAAGATATTGGCAATATGGGAAGCCACAAAGTTCTTCACTTGCTCATTCTGTTCCCATGGTAGAATTTGGACAATTTTGTTAATATCTGCCTGTGAAGGACTCCTCATCAACATAAGATAGGCAGCCAGTCGCTTATCTCCCGGAGAAGCATCATCAAGGAAAGTCTGAAGAAGAACCTCCTGGTCCTGCAGTCAAAAGAGGAGATGGTTATCACTGTCCTGTGGTCAGAACACAGAACATGCCTGGCAAACACTGGCATTGTCTGCTAGCTCTTTCTTAAGCACAGGTCTAATTTCTCTGTAATCGTTCTTCAAATGCTGGTATTGAATCTTCTTGCCAGTGTTTCCTAGAGCACTATCAAGTAAGGGTTCCCAGAAAAAGCCTGTGGAATGCCTGTTGAATTCAATTCCATTAAAACACATAAATTATGGCCAAGTTGTGATTTGTTTGGAGATCCACCACTAAGTGAAAATCAAGTTGTTTTAACGTAAGTTATTTTAATGTGAGGATAAAGATGAGAAGGGGTAGTAAGAGTTTGGGGCTAATAAATAGGGTAGTTTCCAAAGTTCTGGAGTCTTTGCACCTAAGAGGGGGCCAAGTTGGCTATCCTAGCCTAAGCTTATTGGGGGAAAATTAAGCATGTTTTTCCATGATGAGAGGGATGGTCAATCTGGTAGGTGGACGGTAGGAAGCAAAAACATCTCACGTTCTGCATGTTGACATAGCAGCAAAGTCAAGTATTTCTCTCACGTCACATACTGCTAGGCAGTCAAGTCAATAGGCTTGTTGAAATTTGCAATTAGAAAACAGTAGAGGCCAGGTGCAGTGGCTCACGCCTGTAATCCCAGCACTTTGCAAGGCTGAGGCAGGCGGATCACCTGAGGTCAGGAGCTCAAGACCAGCCTGGCCAACATGGCAAAACTCCATCTCTACTAAAAAATACAAAAATTAGCTGGGTGTAATGGCACATGCCTGTAATCCCAGTTACTCAGGAGGCTGAGGCAGAGAGAATTGCTTGAACCCAGGAGGCAGAAGTTGCAGTGAGCCGAGATCATGCCACTGCACTCCAGCCTGGGCAATAGAGTGAGATTCCATCTCGAAAGAAGGAAGGAAGGAAGGAAAGAAGAAAGGGAGGGAGGGAGGAAGGAAGGAAGGAAGGAAGGAAGGAAAGGAAAGAAACAGCAGAATAAAGTCAGTAGATGAAATCTAGAGTCTCATTCCCCTAGTACCTTCCAAATCCTTGTTAATAAACTTTCACTTTCAGACCTCTTCTTGTGGACTTTACCTTGTCTTTAGGCTCCATTTTCCGCAGAGCCTGGATGGCAGCTTTCTGGATCATCAGTGATGGCTTTGTACTTTGGACACATTTCAGGATTGAAGACTTGAGTTCTGGAGTTAACTGCTCCATGGTTTGGCCCATATTTCCAATGACCTGCATTGAAGAAAAGAAACAAGAACCCATCAGGGTGCAGGAGAGGGAAGTAAAAGGTGTCCAGGAAAAGTGCTTCTGAAATGATGTATGTCATATAAAAGACTGAGATTACCCGCAGAATCAAATAGGTGTAATCTTCATCCCCAGTGCAGTCATCTTGAATCTGTTCCATCAGGTAATTAGCAATGTCCAGCAGCTCCTGGGTCCCTGTAGGGTTTGTCTTATGATAGCTACAGAATAAGAGAAGAGAGTCAGGACTTGGTAACCCCAGTTAGGTTTGTCTTAAAACCCAAACTTGTGAATTAGAAAAAATAATTATAAAATTCATATGGAATCCAAAAAGAGCCTGAATAGCTGAAGCAATTTTAAGCAAAAAGAACATAGCTGGAGGCATCACATTACCTGACTTCAGATTATACAACAAGGCTATAGTAATCTAAACAGCATGGTACTGGCATAAAAATAGACACATAGATCAATGGAACAGAATACTGAACCCAGAAATAAAGTCACATACTTACAGTCAACGGATCTTTGACAAAATTGACAAAAACATACACTAGGGAAAGGACACCCTTTTCAATAAGTGGTGCTGGGAAAGATGGATTGCCATATGCAGAAGAATAAAACTGGACTCCTATCTGTCACCATATAAAAAAATCAACTCAAGATGGATCAAAGACTTAAATATAAGACCTGAGACTATAAAAATGCAAGAAGAAAACCTAGGGAAAACTTCTCTGGACATTGGCCTAGACAAAGAATTCGTGAATAAGACCTCAAAGGCAAAGACAACAAAAACAAAAAATAGACAAATAGAACTTAATTAAAGTAAAAAGTTTCTGCACAGTAAAACAAATAATCAACAGGGTGGTAACCTGCAGAATGGGAGAAAATATTTGCAAACTATTCATCCAATGGGGTACTAATATCCGGAATGTACAAGCAATTCAAACAACTCAACAAAAAAATCCCCCAAATAATCCCATTAAAAAGTAGGCAAAGGACATGAATAGACATTTTTTTCAAAAGAAGACATACAAATGGCAATAGGCATATGAAAAAATGCATAACATTACTAATCATTAGAGAAATGTAAATTAAAACCACAATGAGATAACATCTTACAAGAGTCAGGAGGGCCATTATTCAAAAGACAAAAAATAACAGTTGTTGGTGAGGATACAGAGAAAAGGAAACAGTTAATCACTGTTGATGGGATTGTAAATAAGTACAACCACTATGGAAAACAATACAGAGATTTCTCAAAGAACTAAAAATAGAACTACCAATAAATCCAACAATCCCATTACTGGGTATATACCTAAAGGAAAAGAAATCATTATATCCAAAGGAAACCTGCACCCATATGTTTATCACAGCACTATTCACAATAGCAAAGACATGGAATCAACCTAAGTGTCTATCAATGGACGATTGGATTAAAAATGTGAAATGTATAGGCAATAAAATACTATTCGGCCATAAAAAGAATAAAATCATGTCATTTGCAGCAACATGGATGGAACTGGAGGTCATTGTCTTAAGTGAAACAGGACAGTCACAGAAAGACAAATATTGCGTGTTGTCATTTATAAGTGGGAGTGAAATAATGTGCACACAAGGACATAGTGTGTGGAATGATAGACAATTGAGACTCAGAAGGTGTGGAAGTGGAGGGAGATGGATGGTGAGAAATTACTTAGTGGGTACACTATATGTTGTCTGGGTGATGGATACCCTGAAAGCCCTGACTTAACTACTGCACAATCTATTCATGTAACAAAATTACACTTGTTCCACATAAATTTATATAAAAATGTAAAAAAGAAAAAGCCAAAAAATTTCATCAAAGGAAAAACCTGCTAGCCTGAGCAACATGGTGAAACCCTGTATCTACCAAGAATACAAAAATTAGCCAGGGCATGGTAGCATGCACCTGTGGTCCCAGCTACTCAGGAGGCTGAGGTGGGAGGATCACTTCAGCCCAGGAATTTGAGGCTTCAGTGAGCCGTGACTGCATCACTGCACTCCAGCCTGGGTGACACAGTGAGACCATCTCAAAAAAACAACAACAACAAAAAAAAACAAAACAAACAAACAAAAAAATTCAGAGGAAAAAACTGCTAACTAATATTGAACTGAAGTTAATAATATGCAAGCTGTAATACTTAGGGGAAAGTGTGTTGATGTTTGCAATTTACTTTGAAATGCTTCAGAAAATAAGATGAATTAATGGATGGATGTATATGTGATAAAGCAAATATAATAACACTTAAATAGTAGGAGATAGCTGGTTTTCTAGGGGTTTTCCCTGTGAAATTCTGTCAACTTTGCTATGTTCAAAAACTTTTATAATATAATGTAGAGAAAATATTTTTAAAAATTCAATTTGTGTTTGCTGATTTCTTATTTCAAGTCATTACCCCAAAAATGATCAAGAAAAAACACAAGAGTAAGGAGCAGAGTTTGAAAGTGGAAGGAGGGGTTCAGTTTTAATACAGAGATGCACAGAGGTGCAAGATGTTCCTCTGCTCCTAGGAGGAGAAATACAGTGTGGAAACTCACTTGTTGACCGCGTGGCTCAGCGCATACAAGGTGGCTCGGCTGCGCTGATCCCTCGCCATGTTGAAGATCTCTCGCAGCTGCTGTGCTGAGGGCTCGGGGATCAGGGCCACCAGGTAGGTGACCACATCTATCAGAAGGGGGTTGGCATGCACACGTTTCAGCCACTGGAGGATGTGAGTGGAGCACTGAGGCTGTCCACACTGAACCAAGGCTTGTAAAGTGATGGGGCTGAGAAGAAAGACATGGATAAAGTTATACAGACCACCTTCAGGGCACATAAAATATTGCTCATGGTGTGTCCTCTGCCAGGAGAGCCCTTAATCACCTCATTCACTATTCAAATCTAACTTCAAAACCCAACTTGGAGCTCAGAACCATGATGCTTTCCTTAGGAATATTACCCACAGAAGAAGCCCAATCGAGAAAAGTTCCAAGAGGGGACTGTGGATCTGTAGCAACAAGAAGACTGTTATCACAGTCCTTTGGCCAGCACACAGAATATGCCTGGCCAACATTAGCTGGGTCTCATTCCTGGCCTCAGTCCCTTCTCTCACCTTCATAGCACTTAAAGCCAGTGCCTTGAAGGGTAGAGAAATCATATTATATTTTTCGTCTGAGTTCTCTCTCCACCAGCCTATAAGCTTCTGGAGAGCACCTGCAATAGACCTAGGAATTAAAAGTTACCCATCAAAATGTGGGAACTATTCTCCTTCTGTTTTAACACACAAATACATAGCTGCCTTGAACACAGTATGCGCGTGTGTGTTTCATGGAACTCAGCGCAGCAGCTGATAGTTCTCTATCCAGCAATCATGAACTGATTGACTAATTGATTAACTGGATTGATATCCAAATGGTCCCTGAGATTCTCCATTTGGCCAAGGTTTGAAAGTTCAGTCAGTTACCATCAGTTTTATAAAAAGTTGAGCTGTAACCATTAGATACCTGGACACCTCAATCAGCTGTGGCAAGAGAGATGTGACTGCTTCATCACTGAGGCCTCTCAGCTCAGTAACCAGCTTATTGAAGAGATTAGCTCTCTGGATATTTTGCTCAGAGATGGTTAGTTTTTTCAGTTCCTGGAGAGTCTTCAAAACAGCTTCGGCCTGCTTTGGAGGTGATGTGGATTTGGTGCTCTCAAATGCGAGGCCCATCTTCTTAGTACCTGGAAGATGGAAAGTGTCAAAGGAACTCTAGCTTTCTTCATCTCAACCATATCTTTGTCTACTGGAAGCTGGAAATTGTGGAGTATCAGCACAGGGGAAAAGGGAAAGAAACTATCCTGTATTCAATGCCTGCTAGATCTGGCTCTGCCATAGGTGATTGACTTGTTTTCACTGACTCATCATCCTATCCCTGTGGGGTGGCATTATTGTTCAATTTAATGATAAATTCAGCCCTGCTTCTGAGACCCACAGAGTTTTTGGGCCATGTAAATTGCTCATCCCTGGATCTCAGCTCTGAGTCCCAGAGATGAGACAAAGAGATGAGACCCAGAGATGAGGAAGTGTGACCCAGAGATGAGCAACTTAGGTTTCCCAAGAGCTCTCAGGGTCTAAGAGGTAGAGCTAAAGTGGAATCCAGACTTGTCTGAGTCTATCATCAGGTTACCCTTAGCTTGAAATAATTGGTGAGGAGGTGCTACTGTTGACATGGTTACAACTGGGACCAGGCACATGGGTGCTTATCACCATTTCTTCTAATTGGGTCTACCAGCAGCTTGTGGGGAGGGGAGACACTTTTGTATCCTCTCCACCACCTACTGTGACCTATGCCAGGAAGAGAGGTAAAAGTCATCATGGAAATGTGGTGTAATGAGAATAGTCCTGGCTTAGATTACAACCTGGCACTTATTTTCCCCCCTCTAATATTCTGCGGCCTTGACTACATCAAACTCTAAGCCTCTCTGTGTCACTGTCTCCTCTGTAGAATAGGTATAAAATCACATCTCTACCACCTGACATCACAGGTTGCTATGAGCAAAAAGGACAATGAGGTAATGTACAAGAAGGAATTTGGACAGATATAAATACAATACAATACTGGGTAAGGGTTGGACTTGAGATTGTTAGAGTTCCTTCTACCTCTAAAGACTGACTCCTGAGGTTACTATCTGGCCAGACTCTGAAGGTTCTCTCCCACTTGGTCCACCTCGTCTGGGACAGCTCTGGATCTTATCACAGGATGGGTGATGTCAGTTCTATCAAATATGTCATGTTAAACTTAGGATTCCAGTTTTCTATTTACAAATGCCTAAGTAGCTTTGGGAACTTCTTTTCCTTTATGCCATTGCAACTTGACATCATGAAATGAGTTTGCTTTCTCACTAGAGGTAGCCAGAACACCAGTGTCTGTATCACTTGTTAGTCAGCAGACATTTAACAGGGCTCAGCAAGTGGCTAAGCCATGATAGGCACATCTTGAGTAGATTTTCCAGCAACTATGTGGACAGAAACTCTTACCTTCACCAAAGAAGCGGCTGTTGATCTTTGGTGTGTCTTCAAGTTTCAAAGTCTGTGTCACTTGTGCTACCATCCCATACTTATTCCTGGTAACCAAGGAAGCACACCATGTCACGGATGGCCAGAACATACTATTCTTTCCATGTTGAAGGTTTTCCCTGTCTCTGCATCTACCCAAGTCCTGCCCATCTTTCAAAGCATGGGTAAATCCAGCCATTGTTGGCCCTGAATGAATAACATCCACCTCTTCCTGGTCACGCTAGTTATCCTCCCATCAAAAAGACATGCGTGCCTTATACTCTCCACTAGTCTGGAGTGGCCAGAGGTAGGAACTAGTGCAATGTCTCAAAATTCTTTCGTATCTTCCACAACATAGAGCCAAGAATATGGCAGTTACTCAATATATATTCATTGATTATCAGTTTTCAAAGTGGATTTGGATACACAAGTTTCCAGTCAGTATCCCAAATCTTCCATGAAACCTTTTCTAACCAGGGTACCCTGCAGTGATCCTCAGGTTTTCTGGATCTACAGCCCTTAAAGAATGGGTCTTAGATATCTTTTGTTGGTCTTGGATTGTTTTGCATGCCTAGGACTTTTCTGCCAAATGGCCTGTTCGCTTAAAAAGGGGGACAGGGAGGGGCGGCATTTTATCCCTCTCCATTCCTCCCTCCCAGGCACAGGTTTGCCTGGAACAGAGCACTTGAGAAGTGTTCAGTTCACACTGACCCATTAAATGACAAATCAGGGGTGCATCACATGACCTACTTGTAGGAGAAAGGCAGGAAGAGGTGTTGCTCCTTGCAGATGGCTTCTGCCACATGCTTCCTCTTAGCGTCCAGTGTGTACTGACAGGACTGGCTGCTGCTGATCAGAGTTGACAAGGGGCGGGTCTATGAAAGAGATTGGAGACGAGCATTTTGATCAGTCCCTGTATCTTCTGTTAAAAGCATTTACCTTCAAGGTAGAAGGGAGCAGGAGTCCTGTACCACTAGATAAACTCAGAGAAAGAAGATAACTGGGTACTTGACATTTAGACCAGGGGGTGCAACAAGTCGGCATCCCCAAAGCTGAGTCAAGCTGTAGACTCCTCTTTTTCCACCCTCACTGGACAATGTCTAAACTTTGTATCCTCCACATGCCCATCCCACCACATAGCCCCTCACACACCTGCTCAGTAACTTTTCTTTGCCCAAAAGCCCATTCTTACATGTCTCTTTCATTTACATATTCTTTGCATTTTTTGGGTTCCTGCTCCACATCTTCCATGAAATGTTGCCCGCTGAGCTACATGAATAATTCTTTCTCCTTCCTGGTCAGGCCCAGGACTTCTTGTCTGCACTGTTCAGCTTATCACCTTATTGAGTATACCACGTATACTTTATTGACCTGGCTCCTGCATTAGACTGGAAGCATCCTGAGGGGAAGGTCCATGGTTCATCTGCCACTGTCCCTTCCTTGGTGCTGCCCAGAGTGGGGTTGAGCAAACAGCAGATGCTCAGAAAAGACCCCTAAGCCAGTGCATTATCCTCTTCTGACTGTGGCACTCATGGTCATCAGACTCCCTGTTTTCAACCCTAAGGACAATGACCAGGAACAGCGCCCAGCATGACAGTGATTGCCCAAGTTATTCATGTTCACTGAGACAGGCTGGGGCTCATATCAGGGAAGATGTTGCAGGGGTCAGGCAGGCTCAGGTAATATGGTGCTCCATGGCCCCAGTTAACAGAGAGGAGAGGGTGCTCCAGGCCGGTGGCAGTGGGGCCATGTTTGGTCAGGGTGGTACTGGGGGTGGAAGGACAAGAAGCTGGAGCACTCTAAGTCACTCCACTTCATGGGATGAGGGAGAGGGGGAGAACACAGGTCTTGGGACTTCTTCAAAGGCCAGAGGCTTGGAGCTGGCACAAGGAGTCCTTGTGCAGAAAAGAACAGAAGGTGGTTTTGCTGCCCTACATCCATCCCCGGAACCTTCTCAGAGGTGAGTAGTCATTACTCTCAAGTGATGAGATTAGAGGCAGTTTGGTGCCAGTGACAGAAGGACAGGAGGAAAGACAGAGCTCTGGGCTGGGAGGGAGGAGCCTGACTCAAGCCTTGGCTCAACTGATCCCAGGCCGTGAAGCCTGGGCAGACCTTCCCGTGCCTGCTCAGGGTCCTATCTCTAGTCTGTA
The DNA here is from genome assembly GCF_000001405.40 of Homo sapiens. NCBI lineage: Eukaryota > Metazoa > Chordata > Mammalia > Primates > Hominidae > Homo > Homo sapiens. The sequence goes on from NC_000002.12 coordinate 21,036,984, forward strand.
TAAAAAACAGCCAGGGCAGGCTGTCCTCAAAGGTGCCCACTAGCTCAAAAGTTCTGGAATTGTATTAATAAGAGGATGCTCCTTGCTGTGCACGACAGTGCTGACATGGGACTTACCATGCCTTTGATGAGAGCAAGTGGGCTGATGCCTGTGCGGATGGGCTTGAAGCGATCACACTGCCCCAGGTCTCTTTCAGTGGATATTTCTGTTGCCACATTGCCCTTCCTCGTCTTGACGGTAAAGTGAGTGGAGCAGTTTCCATACACGGTATCCTATGGAGGAAGAAGATGCAACCACATGTATTCAACACGGGCAACATCCTTGGGTACTTGGGAGGGATGGGGTGGGGATCGTGAAAGAAAAAGCAGAAGGAATCTAGCTTTGGGAGGGACTTTCTTTTTCTTCCTATGCAGAGTGTGGTCTTGCTAGTGCCTGGCCAGCCCAAGTTGGGAGAGAGAAAACCAGTTAAAGGTGGGTCTGCAGAAAGGCCTCCGCAGGTTGCATCGGTGTCTTCTCCCATTATGGTGTCGTAGAGAAATTAGAACACACAAAAGTGCTCATGGGACTGAGGTGAAATGAATTCTGTCTCACAGTGAAACCTGAAATTCGTAAAAGAGACCAGCAACAGATCCCATTATTTTTGGTGTTTAAAATACACACAGGATTTACTGTGTACACCATAACCCAGCAAACACAGGTGAAGCATCAAACAAAAGCAGGGGTGGGGTGGCCAGGACTCCTCAATGACTGTTTTAAAATTAGACCCAACCTGATAAGCCTGCTTGGGATGATCTGTCAGTGAGCCTAAGGGGCAGGAGGAACCTCGGGCACCAGTATTTCACGCCAATCCAGGGCTTCCTATGTAACTAGTCATGGAGCTGACTCAGTGATCTGCTTTGTATATGGTAGGACTGGTCTCTAACACATGAAGATGAGTTTCAAGGGCCACTGCTATCAGCTTTCTAAATCCTCACCAGAAACAACACTTGCTTGGCTTCTTCTGTCTCTGGGGGAACCAGGAGGGCAGAAATGATGCCCCTCTTGATGTTCAGGATGTAAGTAGGTTCATCTTTCTCCGGGTAAAGGAAAACCTGCTTCCCTTCTGGAATGGCCAGCTTGAGCTCATACCTGTCCCAGAGAGAGGATGGTCACGGAAATGTCCTTCTCCATTACAACTTGCTGGAAGTAAGCTGGGTGGCACTGAAGTTTCTTTTCTCATATTTTTTTAACCAATTGTTCTTCTGACATCATTTATTTGTAAATATAGAATATAGCTACACATAGACATACATTTTCAAAAAAGTATGCACATATACATAAGTTTTGGTGATTCTTTTTTTTTCTTTTTTTCTTTTTTCTTTTTCTTTTTTTGAAATGGAGTCTCGCTCGGTCGCCCGGGCTGGAGTGCAATGGCGCAACCTCAGCTCACTGCAACCTCCACCTCCTGGGATCAAGTGATTCTCCTGCCTCAGCCTCCGGAGTAGCTAGGACTACTGGCATGTGCCATCACACCCAGCTAATTTTTGTATTTTTAGTAGAGACAGTTTTCACCATGTTGGCCAGGCTGGTCTCAAACTCCTGACCTCAGGTGATTCTCCCTCCTCGGCCTCCCAAAGTGCTGGGACTACAGGCATGAGCCACCAGGTCCAGCTGTGTTTTAACTTTTTTTGCTTGGCTCATCCAGCCCTGCTCTGTTCTCCACCCATATCAGTCTCTTTGCCCATCCTCCCCATACGGACACCCGAGTGGTTGTTCCATTTGTTTCTGCACACTCATACAATCCTCTGTAAACATGGGTGAGTGCAAACAGAGTCATACAAAGATTTTGCCATTGTTTGTTTTATACAAGTGGCATTGTATTATGCATACTTTTATCTTGTTTTTCTCACTTAATTATACTTCACAAAAATCCTTCTGAGTCACTTGGTACAGCTCTAACAGATTTTTTTAAAAGCTGCATGCAGAACATTCCATTCCATGGCTAAATATAATTTATTCACACATTGCCCCATTTGATGGCATTTGCCCTCTCTCTTTCTGGATTTTTTTTAAACCACACAAACAATACCAAAACAAACATCCTTATGTGCCTATCTTCACACATTACTGCTTTTATTTTCATGGGCTAGAGTCCCAAAGACTAAAATATCTGTGTCAAAGGGTATTAAGTATTTTAAATTACAGTAGATATTGCCTGATGGCTCTCGTTTCCACCAGCAGCTCAGGACAGCACACTTTTCCTCACTGGCCTGCCAGCAACAGGTGCTATCACTGTTTTCCAGTTTTGCAGTATGATGGGTAAAAGCAGATAAATATCTTGTTGTTACATTAATTCGCATTTCTTGACTACCAGTGAATTGGAGCTTATTTTCATACACTTGTTGGACAGTCATTCTTTTGTATGGTGTCAGGCCATGGCTGAAGCCCATGCTGACTTTGGTCTTAGGGATTTCCCACTGGGTACTCTCTGAGTTTCTGAGGACCTGGCTGCAGCCACTCTGGTTACATCAGGAGGAAAAGGTGACGGACTTATCTCCCACAGCCTACACTCTCTCAGAAAGTTCCCAACACGAAGAAATGATAAATGTTTGAGATGATGGGTATGCTAATTACTCTGATCTGATCACCATACATTACATGTATCAAAATATCACTATGTTCTCAATAAATATGTATAATTATTGTATGTCAATTTTTAAAAAAGACAGTTAAAGTCATGAAGATGCAAACATGGAAAGCCCTCCTTTTCAAGAACAGGAGTCTCTTCTGTATTTGGAGAAGACCAAGGACCAAAAAATAAACCACTCTTTCCTCCTGCCACCATACCCCTCTCCCTCATATACAGTTAAGTCTTGGAGAAAATAAAGCATAGGAAAGAAAGAAGCCTCACAGCCTATTTTGGCAAGAAAGGACTGGCATCTGAATCTAATGTTTAGCAAAACTGAAAAATGGGCAAGGATGGTGATATGGTTTGGCTCTGCGTCCCCACCCAAATTTCGTCTCGTAGCTCTCATAATTCCCACGTGTTGTGGGAGGGACCCGGGGGGAGGTGATTGAATCATGGGGGCAGGTCTTTCCCGTGCTGTTCTCGTGATTGCAGATGGGTGTCGGGAGATCTGATGGTTCTAAAAACAGGAGTTTCTCTGCACAAGCTCTCTTTGCCAGCCACCATCTACATAAGATGTGACTTGCTGTCCCTCACCTTCCGCCATGATTGTGAGACCTCCCCAGCCACGTGGAACTGTGAGTCCAATAAACCTTTCTTTTGTAAATTGCCCAGTCTCAGGTATGTCTTTATCAGCAGCATGAAAACAGACTAATACAGACAGAGTTTTCTGATGCTACCAAGTTAACAACTCTATCCTGCCTGTATTCATACACACCTAGGACCCTACAAACTGTGATTGAGGATGAGGCAGGGGTGATGTTGAAAATATTTACAATGGGTGCGACATGGGCCCTGACCAGTCAGCAGAGATGCAGCTGCAGTGGCCGATCAGCGTGCAGTGGCTGAATGCCAGCCTAGGAGGGGGAGCCACCGAAGCCTTGGTGCTCCTCTGCCCTGCGGTGAACAGACCCTGCCCCGCCATGTGCCGGCCACAGCAGCCAGTGCCTCTGGGACCCCACACCAAAGACCACCAAGCACTAGTCTTGACTAGTTCTTTAAATAAGAATTCACTTGTTTAAACAAAGCATCTCAGTTTTATAATCTCAAGAAGTTTAAAGCATGAGATTTTTAGAAACACATGAAAATGATAATTAAAGGAACCTAACTAGGGAAGGTTAACTAATGCTTCTCTCTTTTTGATGATTGTGAAAACTCAGTAATTCCCTGATCCACGATGGATACGGAATACAAATACTTACAGTCACATCCGTGCCTGGTGCAAACACACAAGTTCATACCTCAGCGGACACACACACATGCGTGTGCTCATGTACAACATGACTTACCTGGACATGGCTGCAGCAAACTCCTCAGAGTTCTTGGTTTTCTTCAGCAAGGCTTTGCCCTCAGGGTTGAAGCCATACACCTCTTTCAGGGTGCACTGGCTGGTCTTCAGGATGAAGCTGCAGAGCTGGGGAACCTCCAGCTCAACCTGAGAATTCAGGGTAGCAGAGCATTGAGGTTGTCTATCAAGAATGAGAGGTGGCCCCTGAAGCCCAGGGCTTAATCTCTAATCAGAGCACCAAAGGGAATGGTGCTGGGAACACCACTGCCTGCGCCTCAACACCACATGCCTTATCAACATGCCTCCTGGGTTCTCTGTGCACCAACCTAGACTTAGTCCTATTGCTGACGTTTTCCCCCTCCCGGGTAACACATTTCTTAAGTTTGCCCCTAGGCATGGGAAGGAGGATGTCCTTTTATTGGTTCTAAAGTTACTCACTTTAATTATAAAGAGCTGTGGTTAAATAGAAGCGCTGCAGACTAGGAGTGAAAGTGAAGAAGAAAAACAGAAAGCAGGAAGAGGGCCATCCTTCGTTTCCACAGCAAATGTCTCCTTAATGTCACCCAAAAAACTGGTTATATCTATTAGGGCCTATTTAGAGCTTTGCATATAGCTGGAGTTTCAACGGATTCCTACTTATTATCCAGCACTATTCAAATAACTTTATAGAAATGTTGTACATGTGTGCTGTTCAATATGGGAGCCAGTAGCCAGGGTGGCTGTTGAGCAGTTGAAATGCAGCTAATGTGACAACGAATATGAATTTTTAATTTCATTCCATTTAAATAGCCCAATGTGGCTCATGTCTACCATATTGGACAGCACATACAAGAGCTACGGTACTCTCTAAAAAAAGGTGACTGCTCAGCTTGACTTCTCTTCCCCACCCAAACCCCAATAGCAGCCTGTAGATCTGCTCCACATGTATGTAACATGAGTACAACCAGTCTCAATAATAAGCAAAGTTTTATTTTAGAACAAACTGTATGTTTATATTTTTTTCTTCTTTCCATTCATTTTTCAGCAACAGATTCTGTTTGACTTAAATTATAAAAACTGCATTTCACAGTGCGATTCCGAGTTGCCTGCCTCCCATAGCTCACCTACTGGGCCTCTCTCACGCTGAAATCTACAGACCCACACTGCTGCTAATCTAGATCATGGATTCCTATTGCATCTGGGAAGTTAACGGGAAAATACTTCTGACTTGCGAAATTTGGTGGGGGCAGACCACATCTCAGCAATGTGGCTGACTTACAAACAGAGGCAAAGTCCCAGTGCTTTGATCAGATTACAACAGTTCTGGGATGTTCTGCGTTTGCTCAGTACACACCCTCCGGGAAGGTCGCGTGTTGGGCGCCCGCTGGAACAGGGCTGGGGGAAAGCTGTGGGCTCTAGGTCCCTCCTGCCTGCATCCTCCATACCTTGCAGTTGATCCTGGTGGCACTTCTTGAATCAGCAGTCCCAGGGACTCCACTGGAACTCTCAGCCTCATAGTTGTATGTGTACTTCCGGAGGTGCTTGAATCGGGTCGCATCTTCTAACGTGGGGAGAAATACGTCAGCCACATAGCAGAAATAGCTCTCCCAAGGACAGCCAATTCTGGGCAGAGAGGGGCAGTGGCATAGAGAATTAAAAATGGTAATTCAACTCAAATTATTTTTTAATTGACTTTATACTTAATTTTCCTTTATAGATTTGACTTCTCCATTATGTTTTTGCTGAGGCTAATGTTTAAATTGGCTGGCATGTCTTGAATATCTCATCTGAGGCACAGGGAAGGGAGTGACAAGTGTCAAGTAATGGGGCTCAGAAAATCTGCATGAGAGACCCTCTGGCAAATTAAGAGATGACAACATTACGCAAATAGTACTATCTCTAATGCTTTTTTAGCTTGAACACGCCGTAATTCCGTGACTCTAAGACTACCAAATACTTAAGGCAAAGTTCATTAAGCATTAAGCGTAACTAACTTAACAAACTCCTAGAAAAGAATTTCTGGAGGTTTCCACTGTAGTTGAGAGGAATTTTCTGAACAATTGAAGAAAAAGAACATCTGGGTCCTGAGTCCAGCTGCAGTGATGACAGACGGCCACTAGATGGCGGTGCTGCCCCATCAGAAGTCCGCCCCGCGGCTCCAGCACACAGGGTCGCGCTTGGAGGCCAGTTCCTTTAACCCCCAGGGGTCAGGTAAATAGGAAGGGGGTGGAGGTTCGATTTCTTCACAAAGGTTAAAGTCAGTATTTCCTCACCCTCACATGCTTCGAATCAATGACTAGTCACTGATAAACAGGACAGTGATGTTTCTTCAAAGTGTGCACAGGCCAGCGGAGAGACAATCCCTTCCCTCCCCCGCCCCCAGGCTGAACTTTTGGGACAGAACAGAAGGCCAGGTAGAAGAGAGTTGGCATCCCTTGGGTGTGGGCAGAGGCTCAGGGAACTTGCTTCCTGGGGTCAGAGCAAGGCACACCACGATGCCATCTCAGCCCTGTAGAGTGGGAGGCCCTCAGGGACCCGGGTGTAGGAGAGTGCACGGGGCTGGGCGCCCTTCCACGCCCCATGCGCAGATGCCTTACTTGGACAGACCAGGCTGACATTTTCCAGCATTTCCTCTTCTGTAAGACAGGAGAAAGAAATCTGTGAGCTTCCCACGTCTTCCCAGCGGGTGCTAGGGCCCGACAGGGGGACCACCGGCACAGGTTTCACCTTTCAGGAGGGAGGCAGGCTCCGGAGACCCCCTCCTCAGCCCCTCCATCCCGCGCCCCCCATCCTGAGCCTGCAGGGGCCGCCAGCTGGTCCAATCCCCCCACTCGCCCTGGACCCTGTGGCTGCCCTCCCTCTGGCCTAGGCCCAGGCTGCCCCGGCCAACCTCGTGCCGCCGGCTCCCTCCCGCTCCCTCTGCGCCCGCAGAGCGGCCGCGCACTCACCGGCCCTGGCGCCCGCCAGCAGCAGCAGCAGCAGCGCAGGCAGCGCCAGCAGCGCCAGCAGCGCGGGCCTCGGCGGGTCCATCGCCAGCTGCGGTGGGGCGGCTCCTGGGCTGCGGCCTGGCCTCGGCCTCGCGGCCCTGGCTGGCTGGGCGGGCTCCTCAGCGGCAGCAACCGAGAAGGGCACTCAGCCCCGCAGGTCCCGGTGGGAATGCGCGGCCGGCGCCCGCACCCCATTTATAGGAAGCCCAGGCTGCAAGAGCGCCAGGATTGCAAAAGGTCCAAAGGGCGCCTCCCGGGCCTGACCTGTTTGCTTTTCTACACTGGCTTCTCTTTGAGCCTTGAAGAGCCTCGGGGAGGGGGCCCACCTGGGATGCAGCCGCAGCCACCAGGGGCTGGGTCCCAGGTGGGTTCCCTTCCCCAAGCGTCTTCAGTGCTCTGGCGCGGCCCTTCCTGTGTCTCAGTGGGGCCATGGCCAGCGCCTCAGGGTCTGAGAAGCCTGCCCTGACCAGGGGTGCCTTCTTCAGATGACCCACCATGGGGACAAAATCTCTGCTTCTCCTGGACTGAATTGGGAGCCACGAGGAGAACCAGTCCTGAGCGCTGTCTTGGTGGAGACGTGTTCCCATCGGTTACTTCTTTTCCATTTTGGTGGACCTTGGATTTGCACCCACACCCTAATCCTGATCAGAATCTGTGGCTGCGGGGTTCAGCCCGTGCTGGGGGAGGAGAGAGAAGGGGGATGCAGGGAGGTCTGGTGAGTGACCAGTCACTGCCCCTGAGGATGGGTGGCCTGCCTGGTCCCAGCAGGAGTCCAAGTATCTGTCTTCAAGAAACCCCAGCGAGGAGAGGCCTCTGGGGAAGAGCAACCTCCGAGGGCGCACCCCTCTTGTGCAAAGTGTTCTTGGGTTGTTGAGAGGAGGATTTCCTGCACCAGCTTCTAGGTTTCCTCCAGTGGTGGGGAGGCGGACGAGGAAAAGCAGAGTAGTGGACAGGACACGTCATGTTCCTCATAGACATCTGGAACCTTCTCATGCATCGTTTCCTTCTCTTCTAGGCACTGCCCATTTCCCACCGGAAGCTTCAGCCAGCGCTCGCTGCCTCTGCCCAGCTGGAGGGAATCAGCGGTAGTGGAATTTCAGGGACACTCGGTTTACTAACCCAGGATCACTCAGAAGGGGTTATTGATGGGATGGCACTATGATGAGCTGAGTGAATGTCTGAGCCTGGCTGTGTCCCCAAGGCACCTCCACTCTGGTTAGGGAGACAAGCTGTGTACGCAGGAAACCGCTAGTGAGCAATTGTGGTAGGATAGAGGGGGCGACAACCAGGTAGGTATAACTGCTGGGGGACCACCCAGGAAGGCGAGTGGGAGGCGGCCAGGAGCAAGCCGGTAGAGTGCGGATGGGAAGTGGACAGCGCCTGTTGCAGAAGTCAGTGTGTGCTCATTGTTACAACTTGTCAGCTTTGTTTGAATTATGAGATAACCCCAGATGTAACAAGCTACTGGTGAAGACTGATGATTCCAGAAGGATCAATTCTGAAACAGTAACTATGTATAAAGACCCAGTTCCCTCAGAGGAGACTCACAGAAAGACCTTCGCCTGCTTCCTGCACCTGGGCTCCACACCTGTCCTTATTCAGATATTGTCATTAGCCATGAACTCCTATGGGCAGCTAAACTCCCTCCAGTGATCAGTTGCTCATCCACAGCATATTAATGTTATTAAAGATGGATATTACAGAGGTCTCAACTCAAGGCTGGTCATACCTACACCACTGATTTGTGAAAGGTCTGGAAAAAGTAATTGCTCTGAAACCCCATTTCTCTGAACACTTTATTTGAATTATTCTATGTGGACTGACTTTCCACAGGGTTCGCTGCTGCTAGTGTTTGAGGAAATGGTCCTGCTTCCATGCATATTCACATTAAGGAGAGTGAGTAAGAATATTCAGGTATAGAGAAGCCAAAAGGAGGTGTCGAGCTTTAATTTACAAGCACAAGTCCAAGCTTACTCTGTTACGTGCAGATGAAACCAGGGTCCAATGGTCAGCATCCATAGAGAATATATACATATATATATATATTTTTTTTTTTAATTTATTTATTTGAGATGGAGTCTCCCTCTGTCACCCAGGCTGGAGTGTAGTGGTACAATCTCGGCTCACTGCAACCTCTGCCTCCCGGGTTTAAGCGATTCTCCTGCCTTAGCCTCCCAAGTAACTGAGATAACAGGTGAGTGCCACTATGCCCAGCTAATTTTTGTATTTTTAGTAGAGACGGTGTTTCACCATGTTGATCAGGCTGGTCTTGAACTCCTGACCTCATGATCTGCCCGCCTTGGCCTCCCAAAGTGCTGGGAGAATGTAATTTTTATGAAGTAGGAATCAAAAATGAATTTGATGACTTGGAGGCAGGGAAACATTGTGAGATGCTTGGAGGTGGTGAGAGGACTGTCACCATCTCTAAAGGAAGAAACCTAAGACTCAGCTTCCCTCTTTTCCTGATGGTCTTTGGCAAGTCTTCCCTGAACTGGGCCCCAGCCAGCAGTAGTTATCCCCTGACAGGGTCTAGCACAACCCCACAGAGCAAATGTTGAATTGTTGAGCTGACTTGCGTACACTCACGGAAATGCTGTAAAGATTAGTGCATAGATTTTTCTTCAATTACAAAATCCACTTAGATCCTTTGTCAAAGACTACATGGAAATACATTACTTGTGACCAAAGATATCACCCTTCATCCCTTTTCCTTTAGATAGAGACACATTCTGGTGTCACACAGATTAATCTCAGCTAGTGACTGTGACTTATCAGCTCATAAATGCAAAGTCCTGTTGGGTGCACCATCAATCTGGGTAGTCATAGGGCTCTGGGTACCCATTAGAAAGCCACCTGACTAGAGGAATTTCAAGGCGATAGATAATGCTGAATGTCCCAGTTACATTATCTAGAAGCAAAACTATCCATTGTGCCTATCTGCAGCCGACCAGAAGGGTCTTGGCCAAGTTCAGGGAATCATGGAAGCTAATAAAGGACCCCAGCAGACCAATATTCTGAGTTTAGTGCTGTTCACATACTGAAGTAGGTGCTTAGAACATAATTTGCTGAATATGAATGAATGAATCTGCACCATTCAGCTATACCCCATTTTCCAGGATATTTATGCATAGCGACCGTGATGCTTAAATAAATATTTCCAGTGACATAAAGCAAGGAAATACAGTCTATACCAATTATTCCCAGCCATGCTGCTCCAAAATCTCATCTGGCAAATAGGGATCAGTATTGACAACGATTAATTAGCCTATCTCGTTTCTGCCTATGACAGCATTATAATTGCAAATGATGCCCAGAAGCTGGAAAGTAAACTTCAAACATTGTAGATGGAACTGTGCCCAGGGTGGCCTGTTTACCCAGTGACAGCATGCATGTGTGAGCACGTGCACACACACACACACACACACACACACACAAATGAGAACTATCAGGAAAGAAATGGCACATTTAGGTGAATGGTTCAGGAGGAAGATGATAGGGTGAGCCATTGTCAACCAAATGTAGGCATTCCAGATGGATGATTAACCCCTGCGAGAAGCAAAAAGAAACTTTCCTTCTCCATCATTCTGCTACCCAAGAGATAAGGTCAGAATGTTGAGTCGCAGTTCCTCCCGGGAGAGAAGCCAGAAGTCAGCAGGGTTCAATGTGCAGTGAGGAGCTGCGTAAGTGAATTATCACCCTCTTGCCTATGTGGATGTCATCCTTCCACCCACCCAGGGCTGGCTGCAGCCCCACCTACTGCACTGAATCTTTCTCTGGGAACAGCCCAGTTAGACTTCATAGCTTGTGACTCTGATTCCCTGTCATTCAGTTTCTAGGTAGGACAACGATGATGAAAGGCCTTCATACAAACCTGTTGTTGTCCTGAATACATTTTTCTCTTATAGCATTATTTGATTTTTCATGTGTTTACCTGTTGCCTTGCCAATGGGAGAGAGAAGCTGGGAGAGCAAGAACCATGTGTAGTTCACAGATTGGTACCCCTTGTCCTCTCTTCCTCACTGACACCCTTGCTAGGCCAGGCAGATGGTAGTCAAGCAGTAAACACTGTGATTATAATGTAATATGGTCCATGTGAATAGGTTTCTTTCATATGCACACTTCATTTTTACTCTTGAGTGTTGCTGCTTATGTTTACATCTTCATTTAGAATGCACAGTGAACTTGGAGCTGTAGGAGAGAGGAAGGGTCTGGGAACTGGGGCCATGGGACAGTTTCTACGGCTCTGGGTGGCAGTCCCTCATCTGTGTGATGAGAAGACAGGAATGGACGGTCTCTTAGCCCCATTCAGCTCTGACTACTTTGATTCTATGGAAATTTTGGGGCTGAAAAAACAAACACATAAATTATTTTGGGCTCAAACCTCATGGCTATTAGGAGCTGTGGCTGAGGATCCAGAACCATCAAGCAGGAAGGATTTTATGGGAGGCCATCGACCTCTCCAAAGACCTGTGCCCACACTGCCCAAGAAATAGAACCCTTCACTCATTTTACACAGATTTCTAAATCAGATGTGGGCATGCCCTCCTGAGGATGCTGGGGCACAGGGAATTGCAACTCTCCGGAAGTTCTTCCCCACGTCTAGCTTTAGGTTTCATATTTGCCTGACCTTGGGTAAACTTTCTTAGATATAACTTAGCATTTCTTTTGAAAGGCTTTTGGTCAGCTTTTGTCAGCCACTTTTTACTACTTTTAAAAAAAGTTTTCTTTATGTTCTCTCAAGACTAAGGCTCAGAACGTGTTACCTCAGAAAGCTGAGACCAGTGCTGGTGCCGGATAGCTGGATGGATAAACACACCTCACTATTCCCACACCAGCACTACTTCTCTTCATGTATTATGGAGCACCTCCGAGAGCTTCCAGACCAGGAGAAGGGCATAATCAGACGTCACAGCCAATAATGAGCGTACGCAATGTGCCCAGTGTGGGGTCTACACCACAGTTAGACTATAGTGGTACGATGGGGGTCTCGGGGGTCCTGGATGGGTGAGATTGAACTGGCTCTGGAATGGTGGGCAGGATTTGGGTAACTGAAGAGGGAGGCACACTGAAAGTGCAGTGGCAGGAAGCTGGGAACATGTTGGATATGTCTGGCCCCTGTGATGACGCCAGGCTACTGGAGTCTCTGGGGAGAAGGGAGACAGGGGGATGGTCAGTGGGGGATACAGTTTGCCATGCCCAGGCCAGGGACAGAGCTTTCAGGCTAATGAAGCCTTTGACTTAATTTGACACTAAATGTAGTACATATGGCACTGAAACTCTGGATTGTGTAGAAGGCCATGAGAATTGGGCTGAATTCTCCTTGTTCAGAGCTATGAAGGGAAATGTAGCAACAGGTATCTGTAGTCTCAAACATAGACAGGATCTTAGAAACCAAATCGTGACTAATATTCTCATCTTATAGAGAAACTGGGGTCTAGACAGGCTAAGAAGTTTTGTTTTGTTTTGTTTTGTTTTCATGACAAGAGCAGAGGTAAGGCGAGAACTTGGATCTTTAGTTTATAATCTAGGTTATTCATTCTACTCTAATTGCACTAAATCTACATTGGCTACATAAAATTGCTTGGAGATTGCTCTTTGGGCCAGGCATGGTGCCTCGTGCCTGTAATTCCAGCACTTTGGAAGGCCGAGGCGGGTGTGGATAACCTGAGGTCAGGAGTTCAAGACCAGCCTGGCCAACATGGTGAAAACCCATCTCTGCTAAAAATACAAAAATTAGCCAGGCATGGTGGCCTGCACCTGTAATCCCAGCTACTCGGGACATTGAAGCAGGAGAATCGCTTGAACCCAGGAGACGGAGGTTGCAGTGAGCCGAGATTGTGCCATTGCACTCCAGCCTAGGTGACAGAGCCAGACTCCACCTAAAAAAAAAAAAAAAAAAGAAGAATCTTTGAAATCAGTGTATTCTCTTGTGTATTAGTCTGTTTTCACACTGCTGTGAAGAAATACCCGAGACTGGGTAATCTATAAAGGAAAGAGGTTTAATTGATTTACAGTTCCACATGGCTGGGGGAGGCCTCAGGAAACTTGCAATCATGGCATAAGGTTAAGGAGAAGCAAAGACCTGCTTTACATGGCAGCAGGAGAGAGACGAGTGAGGAGCGAAGGGGAAAGAGCCCCTTATAAAACCATCAGATCTCGTGAGAACTCACTCACTGTCACAAGAATAGCATGGGGGAAACCACCCCCATGATCCAATCTCCTCCCACCAGGTCCCTCCCTAAACATGTGGGGATTATGGGGATTACAATTCAAGATGAGATCTGGGAGGGGACACAGCCAAACCATATCATCTTGTAATCTATTCCTTATTGAAAGTGAAAAATTTCATTGATTTTTTTGTGGGTTTGTATTTAGAATAAATATGATTATGTAACTCATTACATAGGATCATAGAGGTTCAGGGCCTAGAAGGGCCATAAGGTTATTGAATCCAACTCTTCTCCATCAATCTGAGAATCCCTGGGCACCCATTAACAGGCTGCCTAACTGGTGGAATTTTATGAAATTAGATCATGTTCTAGGCAGCATGCAGTGAAGAGTTTCTAGAAGGGAAACCTCTCCAGCCTGTCTATCTACAGATGGCCAGATGGAGCCTGCACATGTGGATCAGTGCTTTGTGGTCATATCTCAGGTCTCTGCTATTTCTGTCCCCAATCCGGGGCATAGACTGTCCATCACAGGGAAAGCCAGGAATGGTCAGTACTGAGGTGGAAGTTTTTCTGACACCATCTTTATCTAGATTCTGAAGTAAATACCAAATAACTACCAGAATGGCCTGACACTGTTTTCATCTGTATGTTGTTCCCTCTCTGATAGCATGGAGAGGCCTCAGGCCATTGCCAGAGCCCAGACTGCTTAGGTTACTTGGTCTCCAAAGAAGAAAGTGGGTGGAAATGGGCCATTTAGTATCAGGAATTTCTTGGTTTTCTCTTTTTAGTGGTGCACTTAACTTCTAATAGAGTCATTTAAAAAAAATAATGGCCACCTTTAGGTGTTCTAAGGCCCACCCTGCAGAGGCCACAGATAAGTATATTCACTTATCTGCGAATATGCTAATGGATTCACAACAATCAATTTTAGAATATTTTAATCACCCCCCAAAGAACTCTGGTACCAATCAGCCATCACCCCTTAAGTTCCCTACCTGTCCAGCCCTAGGCAACCACTAAGTTACTTTCTCTCTCTACAGATTTGCCTGTTTTGGACATTTCATATACATGGGGTCAAACAATATGTGGTCTTTTGCAACTGGCATTTTTCACTTCCCATAATATTTTCAAGGTTCATACATGTTGCAGCCTTTTATTCTTTTTTATTACTGACTAATATTCCATTGTATAGATATGCCACATTTTATTTATTCATCAATTGATAGACATTTGTTTTGTTTCTACTTAACAGCTATCAGGAATAATGCTGCTATGAATATCTGCATTCAAGTTTTTATGTACACACATGCTTTCATTTCTCTTAGATGTATATCTAGGAGTGAAATTTCTGGGTAACATGGTAATTCTATGTTTAATCATATGAGGAACTGACAGATTGTTTTCCAAAGTGGCTACACCATTTTACATTCACACCAGCAATATATGAAGGTTCCAATCTCTCCACATCCTTGTCAACACTTGTTATTATCTGTTTTTGTTTTTATTATACCCATCCTAGTGGATGTGAAGTGGTATCTTATTGTGGCTTTTATTGCATTTCTATGATGGCTATTGATGTTGAGCATCTTTTTGTGTTCTTACTGGGAATTTGTATATCTCTTTTGGAGAAATGTCTACTCAAATTCTTTGGATTTTGAATTTTTAAATTGGAGTGCTTGGACTTTTTATTATTAAGTTGTAAGAGTTGTTTTTGCCTTCTGGATTCAGGTTTCTTATCCGACATAGCATTTGCAAATATTTTCTCTTATTCTGTGGGTTGTCTTTCTACTTTTCTTTAAAATGCAAAAGTTTTTAATTTGGATGAATTAATGTTTTTCCTTTGTTGCTTTTCCTTTTGGTGTCATATGCAAGAAACTATTGCCTAAAACATGGTCAAGGAATTTTACTCCTGTGTTTTCTTCTAAGAGGTTTATAGTTTTAGGTCTTATGTCTAAGGCTATGATCCCTTTTGAGTTAATTTTTCATGTATAAAGGAATCCTTTTGCCCCTTGCTGTTAGAAATTTTCAGGTTCTGTGAGCCTGTAAGTGGCCCTGAGTTACCTCTTCTGCCTCCTTGCTAATAGGGCGTGACCTGTTCCCAATGCGGGTGACATCAGCCCTATTGCTCAATGAGCAGAATCAGTCCTTATTAGGGACTGTTCCTCCCTGGGGCTTTTCAAAGAAGTGACCAGAGCTCCAGTCACTGAGAGGACAGGCCCCGAACCCTTGCCTTTTCAGAGAAAAAAATAGAGATATTCTTGGTCTCCGAAGCTGAAATCCCAAGCTTCTTTTAGAGTCTGTAATGTCCTGATAAGCTTTCTTCCCTTTTCATTCAGAAAGAAAGTATTCAGTGGCTAGAGACATAAGGCTTCCTCTGTATCCAAAACAGCTTAACATGTTTTATAAGGAAACATACAAAACTAGCAACAAATACAAGTTTAAAAAAGTGACATCAAGCACCTTGGAATGATTGCTTTTGGTGTGAATGAGAAGAATAAGAGTTGGGAGTGGGGATGCGGAGTAAGGATGGGGAACTAGAAACAAGCCAACAAAATGAGATAGCACCCTTCACAGACCAACAATTACAGTGTGCAGATGTTGAAGATGGTGAATACTTCATCTCTGCTCCTCAGTGGCAGCAGGAAATTGGCCTATCATTGTAAATATATATATTTGTAAACCCTAGTATTTCTCAAGCACCAAAAAACGGACCCATCATTGTGATAGTTAACTTTCATAAATTATCTCATTTTACATTCCAAAAAATCTGCAAAATAGATTTTTTAACCAGCCATCTTACAAATGAGGGAGCCAGGGCTAAGTTTTACATAACTAACCAAATTCTATTGTCTTCATTATATAAGTACAGGTACCTAGAAGAGGCAGTTATGAATATGTAAGATCAAATGACCAACATAAGATTGAGTCTCAGTGACTTTGGTGTAAGCACATGAGTTGCCCTCTATCTGGAGAAATAAGCTACTGTCTTATTAGCAAGATCTGCAGTCACACAACGCTTTATGATTTGTAAAGGGCTTTGGTTTCCATTATTTCTTTTAATCCTGGTAGCTGTGAGTTTTACGTTACACATCACAGGTGAGGCACCTGAACCTCCCTGGGGTTAAAAGACTTTCCAGGATCACCTGGCATATAAATAGCTGAGCTAGAACTCAAACTCAGGTGTTTTGACTTTATATCCCATGCAGCTCATACTACACCGTCCTGAATCTCAATGAGAGGATTAGGAAACCTGAGATTCTTTATGGCATTTGTTAGAGAAATAAGGCAGGAGGGGGTTCTGAGCCTCGGTGGGCTCCCAGGGAGGAGAGGCAACACGAAAATATCACAGCGATTCACTGCCAGAGAAGGAGATGGGAATTAGAGGCATTTCCTAGGGGCTGCCTTTGATAGTATCCAGATTTCTGAAGAAATGCGCTTAGGGAAAAGCATAAACATACGGAAATACCTGTGCTTGCTGCTGTTTGGATGTGTTCTTAATGTAAATGCTGTTTATTACAATTTTTCCCTTCTAAATGTCTTCGTGCATTTTCCCCAAGTAGGTAAACAAGAAGCTGGGCTCAGCCATCTCAGTTGTTTTTTAATACTTATCCTGCACATGTCCAAATTGTGGCTTTACATGGCTGATCCTACCAGATTAACAATCTGGAATGTGAGATCCTGCATCACACTCAGAAAATACCTCTGAAAATGAGTTGGTATGAAATGATGTGTCTGTCGCTCATTTGGAACAGGCCCTGGCACTGGAGTCCCTTGGGGAACACTGGCCAATGGCCTTCTCCACCACTGCTGACCCCTGGGCAAAGCTGGAGGCCAGCTCAGTCATTTAATTTGAACAAATCCAATAGAAAATGGTAAATTGAGGCAATTAATTAAAATCATTCTTTTCCTCTTGACTCTTGCACCTTTTCAGCCTGGACAATTTAGTTGAAAGTGGTGATGGATGCCTGAATTATCCAGATAATTACTTCTTTCTCACTTCATTAATAACATCGCCGTGTCTCCTTGTGAGAAGTCAGATGAGCTATTTGCTCCCTTACTGGTCAGAAAAGTAAGAGCCTTCCTGAAAGGAGGGAGGCGGAAAGGTGGGAGAGTCAGGTGGCACAGGCAGCTTCTGAGCCTGCCTCACTGAGGACCGGCCCCATCCTCAGGGCAGGTCAGCTCTGGTCTTGAGCCTGATTCCCCTCCTGACAACGCTTCCTTCTCACCCCCATCTCTCACTCCCTTTCTCCTCTCTTTCTCTCTCCACAGCTCTCTCTCTCTCTCTCTCTCTCTCTTTCTCTCGCCCCACCACCAAATCTCAGCTGCAATCTCCACCCTCACTAGGAAGGTGGTCTGTCCTATTCTTCCTCCTCTTTCTCACCCTTGCCATCTGTTGTCCCAATACCTCTGAATTCGTTGGTTTTTTGAGTTATTTTATGAACGGGGATGATGGCAGATGTGGAATTCACTACTTTGCTGCCTTAACAAAGTACCACAGACTGGGCGGCATAAACAATAGACATTGATTTCCTCACAGCTCCGGATTCTGGAAGTTCAAGATTAAGGTACTGGCAGAGTTGGTTTCTTTTTTCCCCCTCATTGCTGGATTCGGTTGTTTGTTGTTGTTGTTGTTGTTGTTTTTGTTTTGTTTTGAGACGGTGTCTCACTCACCCAGGCTGGAGTGCAGTGGTGCAATCTCAGCTCACTGCAACCTTTGCCTCCCAGCTTCAAGCAATTCTCCTGCGTCAGCCTCCTGAGTAGCTGGGATTACAGGCAACCGCCATCACACCCAACTAATTTTTGTATTTTTAGTAGAGATGGGGTTTCACCATGTTGGCCACGCTGGTCTCGAACTCCTGAGCTGAGGTGATCCACCCACCTCAGTCTCCCAAAGTGCTGGGATTACAGGCGTGAGCCACCATGCCTGGCCTGGATTCGGGTTTTTAATATTTAAGGTTTTTTGGTATACACATATTCATAAGTTAAACGGGACTATATTTTTTCTATCCTTTTAATTTTACTCTATGTGTTTATAACTCTGATAAGCAGCTTATAGATAAATACTGTTTTAAAATTTAAAATTTTACTTTTTAAATTGACAGAATAATTATGCATATTCATGGAGTACATTTACATGGGATACATATAATGTAATCAGATTAGGGTAATTAGCATATTCATCATCTCAAACATTGATCATTTCCTTGTGTTGGGAACAGTCAATATTCTCCTTCTAGCTATTTGAAGCTATGTAACGTATTATTGTTACCTGTAGTCATCCTAAGGTGCTATAGAACACTTGAACTAAAATCTATCCTGCTGTAATTTTGTATCCTTTAACAAATCTCTCCCTATCCTTCCCGTTCCCCATCATTCCCAGCCTCTAGTATCCTCTGTTCTACTTTTAACTTCTATGAGATTAAAGCTGGTTTCATTTGAGGCCTCTCTCCTTAGCTTATAGATGGCCATCTTCTCCCTGCATCTATACGTGGTCTTCCCTCTGTGCATGTCTGTGTCCTAAGCTCTCCTTATAAGGACAACAGTCATATTAGATTAGGGCTCATCCTAACAACCTCCTCTAATCTCGTTACCTCTCTGAAGATCCTATCTGCAAATATAGTCACATTCTGAGGCATTTGGGGTTAGGGTTTCAACACATGCCTTACTTTGCTCGGGCTGCCTTAACAAAATAGCTTCAACAACAGAAATGTATTTTCTCACAGTTCTGAAGGCTAGAAGGCTGAGATCAGAAGGAGGGCTGTCTCCTTTGCTTTCAGACAGCTGCCTTTTCACTGCATCTTCACATGGAAGGAGGATGAGTGGGGAGAGAGCTCTCTGGCATCTTTTATAAGGGCATTAATTCAATCATGAGGGTCCTACCTTCATAAACTCATCTAAACCTAATCACCTCCCACAGGCCCCATCTCTTCATACCATCACACGGGGGATTAGGGCTTCAATATATGGATTTTGGGGGGCAGAACTGAGCCCCTAATAGCTGAACGGGAACCGCAAACAAAAATAGGTCTACACTTCTGGTATTTCCTGAGAAAGGCTTTTAAAATCTTTGATAAGATTCTGTCAACTGACTAGCTGACCAGGCACAGTAGTCCTAATGGTCTTGAGAGTGCCTCGAATGTGGCCTGCCCAGTGTCTGAGTGCTTCCTGAGATGGGCTTTGGTCATGGTGTGTGCGGCAGTGGAGAAAGGTTGGAGGTTGCCTCTAGGGCACAACACTGGCAGATTTGGTACTGTACTCTGGTGACCACACAACCATGAAATCCTGTGGCATTCATTCCAGGAGTAGGACAAATCCAGAAAACTACTGCCCTAGGACACTCATAAAGCCTTTCAGCAGCAGCAGAATAACCCAGGAAGAAGAACGATAAAGCTTGTTGACTTTTGCTCTTTGGAGGCTATCTTTCTCCTAGCAGAGTAAACGCATCTCTAGGGGATTAAAGGCAGGCTCCAGAGAGCTATCGACTCCCACGCACCTTCAAGCCAGCAATCCTTTTAGCTCAAGAGATAACATAGCCGCTAACCTTGGCCTTCTCAGGAAGGGCAGGTCAGGGCTTTGATGCTGTGAGTGATTTTGTTGGGAAACAAGAGATATAAGGGTGTCCCTTGCAAGAAAGAAACACACTATAAAAAAAACTATAAATTAGAAAAAGATTTATTTACATGAGATATTAGGCTTCTTCAGGAAAGTACTGGAAGAAATATTTTTGGCTATTCATTTATGAGATTTTTAAAGTGACATCATTGACATCAACCAGCCTAAAAAGAAAGACACAATAATAGCATATTTGGGAAAAAATGATATTAAACTAAGACAAAAAAATTATATTGGTGGTCTGAGGAGTGTGATGAACTCAACAGCAGTTTGGCTCCATTATGGTCAGAGCATTTACTGTCTGATTTCAATCTTTTAAATTTGTTGAGGCTTGTTTATGGCACAGAAGATGGTCTGTATTGGTGAACATTCCATGGGCACTTGAGAAAAAGCACGTATTCTGCTGAGTTTGGTGTAGTTTTCTACAAATGGCAATTAGATCTTGTTGGTTGAGGGTGTTGTTGAGTTCCTTTACATCCTTGCTGATTTTGTCTGCTGGTTCCATTAATTGCTGAGAATAGGGTATTGACGTCAGCACCTATAAATGAAGCTGGGGCTCAAAAGCCAAAACCAAACACACTGTGGCCTCCAGCTCTCAATCAATCAATAAATCAGTGACAAAGCATGTATTGGTTAATTTCAGCATCCTTGGCCGTATCCTGGATGGTGAAGGAAAGAGGAGATATGGGCTTAGTTAAGAAAACTTGGTATTTACATCATGTATGAAATAGATATGTATAGGTTCATGCTGATGTGCTGAAACATTTGTAACTTCCCTTTCTAAAGATTTTTTTTTTTTTGAGATGGAGTTTCACTCTTGTTGCCCAGGCTGGAATGCAATGGTGCAATCTTGGCTCACTGCAACCTCTGCCTCCCGGGTTCAAGCGATTCTCCTGCCTCAGCCTTCCGAGTAGCTGGGGTTCCACCACACCTGGCTAATTTTTGTATTTTTAGTAGAGATTGGGTTTCTCCATGTTGATCAGACTGGTCTCAATCTCCTGAGCTCAGGCAATCCACCTGTCTTCGCCTCCCAAAGTGTTGGGATTACAGGCGTGAGCCACCACGCTTGGCCTTTAAAGATTTTTATGTGTTCAGTCAATTCATCCTGTTAGCCAGACTTGGTTCTAGGTAACCATATAGAGCAATAAGAAGAAAGGCAGGCCTTCCACATGCTGGGTGATCTATGGAGCAGCTTACTCTTGTTATAGAACAAGTGGATCCTACACAGACCCAGAAGATACCCACCATTTATGCAGGGCTAGGTACTGATGCTTCCTTTGTTCATGCATCTCTTCTTTTTAAGGATGTGGACTACCAGCGTGGCTAGGAACTCAAGCTCTGAAGCCAGGGGCCTTTTCAGTTCTGCCACTCACTAGCTGTGTCATTTGGGGCATGGTATTTAATTCCTTGGGCTTCTGTTTCCCTATCTGTAAAAAGGAGATCACAATAAATGATACCTACCTGACAGGGTTTTGTATTTATTAAATAAGTTAATACAGATAAGGCACTTGGCACAGTGCTGGTACTTGGTTAATAGTCCATAAGTATTAGTTATTATCATTTGTCTACCAATATATCCTTTCACGTTCAGTTCCCTTTCTTCTATGGGTATGGGTCATTCCAGTGTGCAAACATAACATCCACTTCAGACTCTTCCCCAAGGATACCAAGATGAGTACAAAATGTTTTTCTTTTAGTTTACTTCTAGCAAGACCTATATAAATAGTCAAACTATAAGACCAAATATCACCTTAAGAGAGATAAAGTGGCTGCTGGAGTCATGGGTGGTGGCCAAGTAAGATGAACTGTTTTTACAAAAGACCCCAAACCTCTGAGAGATTTTGCAAATCATTCCTTTGGATGCTTGCAGAATGGTCAATGGACATTTTTGTGCTATTTGTGTTTTACTAAAGATGTCCATGTTATATCTTTTTTTACTAGGTGGAATTTCACATTTTTAGTGGAAATGCCAACTTCTTATTTTATACAAAATTTGCTTTTACTTCTTATTTTGTATCTTTATATCTTCAATGCAGTTTCTGCAGAAACTTTGAAGCTTTCAAATTATTTTTTCAGGTAGGCTATCCTTTCATCTCTTTAACATCTATGTAAAACAAGTAATAATCTTCTCAGTTAATTTATAAAAAATCATCCAAAGCATAACTATGGGATAGCATTTGCAATCCAATCAAAAAAATCCATGCTTTGGCTGAAAGTTGAGTTGCCTTTGAACTTCCTGAATGGTGTAGGGGATGAGCAGGGCTGCCCCGGCCACCAGTATCCAGGACCCCAGCCCCCAGTCAGGGATGGAAAGTAAACCCTCACAATAAAGTCTGTTAGAGAGTTTCTTATGTTAAGGAATTCAGAGCTGGAATTCATCATTTTGTGATTTTTTTATGGTAGGGAAATACTTTCAACGTTTTAGTTTCATTGAAGATGAATACTACATGACAAAATGCCCCTCCCATTCACTAATCCAATCAGTTGTTCCAAACCTTCTCAAGGCTGTGACTCTCCCAGATCTAGCTGTGGCACCCTCACAAGGGAGAAAGGACTTTCAGCCCTTGGGGAAGTCTCTTAGTGTCCTATAATCTTCTTTACCTCATCCCCCAAGTATAGGGGTTTAATTAAGTAGGCCAAGATTCTTTAATTTTTATTCTCCCTCCTCTCACCCTCTGAATTCTACATTAATTATTTTCTGACCATCACAACTCTTTTAAAACCATACTATCATACCATTCAAAAGATGTCCATTACAGGGTCTGATTTCAACTTATACACACGTTCTCAATATATATTTATGGACTGTCAAGGTTTTTGTATGCCAGGTTAAGGATTCTAGATTCCCCATAAAAAGGAAGATTCAGTGAGGAATTTTATATATGGAGAGATGAATCCTGCAGAAACAAAAACACTTAGATGTAGGACAGGGAAAACAGGAACACAGAAAAGAGAGTCCCAAGAAGTAAGAAAAGATACAGAAGAGAGTGGTGGTGCCCATCTTGCCTGCCCCAACCCTCTCTAGGTGGAGATGGCCATTGAAGGCTCAAGTCTAGGCTCTGCCCACCTGGGCTCTGAGCCCATGAGACCAAGGCCCACAGGATCTGCCCATGAGACACCTCTTCCTCACTAATCAGTCAAGCCAGTAGCGGGTCTTCCTGTCCTAAACCTGGTTCCACTGTGCACAGAGAGCCCCTGAGTCCCATGTCCTAAAACATGTGAAGGTTGATTAGACAAATTGGGTCATTCTTGTCATACTGAACCAAATAAGACTCCAGGGGCCAAGGGGAAAAAGCACTTGGGGCACAAAGCACCTGCTCCAAGAATTAAATTTTCTCCAAGCCCGGCTGCTAAAACAGCCTGGTGTAACCCTAAGACCAGTTTTGCCTAGTAGCTGCTAAAACAACCTGCCTCTAAGACTAATTTTACCTACCACTGTCACTCACCAGTCAGAGCTTGCCAGCTCCCAAAAGCTTCTTTAGTGCCAAAGAGTTTTCTTTCAAAACAGTATGTGATATTTCTCTTTCTGATAAAACTCCCAATCCTCTTTTTGTTCTTCAGACCTAGGGAAGACCAGGGAGTCTGCGTGTTTGCCTTGAATTGGAATTCTTGCTTCCCAAATAAAAGGTTTTAAATTTGGAGATTTGTCTCTGTATATTATTTGACTTCAGCAGCTGCAGTCTCTGTGAAAGCAGTGGTGCAGCACAATGGTTCAGAACTGTGGCATCTGAAACTAGCTGGCCTGGGCTTGAGCCCTACTTAGGCACTTATTAGTCATGTGATTTTGAGCAAGTCACTTGACTTTCTTATGCATTAGTTTCCTCACTCTAAAGATGGGAATAAGCGCAGCCCTGCCTTATAAAGTTACTCTTGTGATAATAATTAAATGAATTAACATGGCTTAACAGCATCTGGCAAAAGTAGGTAAGGACTTATACAAACATTAGCTGTGTACATTGTTGTTATTGTTACATTGTAACGTGTGCACAAATCATGGTTTGCAGGACATCTCCACTTACTGGAGCTCCCATGGCTGATGCGCTGCCAAACCCTTGCTAGCTCCTCTTCTGTTGCCCTCTGCTTCAAGCAGGGTGGACTTTCTCTGGAAGTAAAATGCCAGCACCTGTCTATTAGTTTGAACCATATATGACATTGCCATTTTTTGTAGGTCACAAATTATTGAACATTGACAATTTTCTATGGTTTAATCTAAAATAAGTAATGCTCTTGGCATAAACCTGCAAACAAACAACTGCACTTCACACTCTGAATTATGACCTTGACCTCCGTTTTGAGAACCAGCTTTAGTGTCAATTCTTTGAGTCCTAGACTTGCCCATTTTGGGCTTGCTACCTCCTCTGTTAACCCTAGGGCTGAGGAATGATAATAATGATGATAATAATAGGGGATCCTCTATAGCTAAAGGGTATATATGATAGTTGCAAGGGGAACAGAAATCACTCTAACTTAGAATAGTGTGGCTGGTATATTTACCCTCAGATTAGAGTAGTTATAACATAAGGCATAGATGGCCAGATGGTATCCTTTCACCCCATCTGCCTCATAAGGATCCCTAACTTCAAAAGTCTAATGTTAATTAGTAAGTGATAGTTGTCAACTTCTAGTTTAACCTTAGAATATTTATATATCATGGGACAACTTCCTAGGCACACAGTACTGTCACAAAAAGCTGTTATTTCCATACCAACAGAAACGTGGGCGAAGCATATAAACAGACAGTTCCCGGTAAGGGACAGAATTCTTAAATTAGGTGCAGTGGCTCATGCTTATAAACCCAACACCTTGGGAGGCCAAGGCAGGAAGAGTGCTTGAGCCCAGGATTTCAAGACCAACCTGGGTGATAAAAAGTTACAAAAAAAAAAGGGTTTGTTTTGTTTCGTTTTTTTAAAAAAACTGGGCATCGTGGCATGCACCTGTGAGTCCCAGCTCCTGGGGAGACTGAGGGGCTTGAGCCGGGGATGTTGAGGCTGCAATGAGTCATAATCATGCCACTGTACTCCAGCCTGGGTGATAGAACAAGACCCTGCCTCAAAAACAAACAAACAAACAAACGAACAAAAAATCCAGCCATAATTACACTGAGTTACACATGATAAACTTCCTACGAGTTGGAGAGTGATACATCCCTCCAGTGAGATGTGAGGGAAGAGGGGACTGATACTCCTATTGACTCACTTCTCTGGACCCACTTCCTATTGTTTCTCCAGACTTAGTTTCAGGTTTGAAGATAAAGCTTCTTTAAGAGGTCAGTTAGAAAATGCAAGATCATCTTGTGTTTATGTGCCATATGCTCTTTTCATGACTCTCATTCGTCTCATCTCATCTCATCTCATCTCATCTCATCTCATCTCATCTCATCTCTTCTCTTCTCTTCTCTTCTCTTCTCTTCTCTTCTCTTCTCTTCTCTTCTCTTCTCTTCTCATCCCATCCCATCCCATCCCATCCCATCCCATGCCATCCCATCCCATCCCATCCCATCTCATCTCATCTCATCTCATTGGTCCTGTCCTGAGTCCTGTTGAGTCCTCGGTGCTGTGCTAGCCACACAGGAAAGACATACATGACACTATCCTTGCCCTCCAAAAAAGTCAGAAAGGCAAACAGTAAGTAGAAGAAAATGTTAGAATCCTGATGCATCTTCTTTGCTCCTGATTCAGGATTCAGGAGCTTATTTTCCCCCAGTATTTGGGTAAACAGCCAAACAATTGAATCTCACATTCTAGGGTGGAGTGGAGAGACATCACCTTGCCATAATACATCGGCTTTCCTGGGAGTAAAGTCAAGTTGGAATGCTGTCTGTCAGCGGCAGTTCCACTGGATATATCAAACCCTGCATCTCTCCTCTCCTTTTTTTTTTTTTTTTTTGTGGTGAGGATGATGGAGTAAATATCTCCTTGGTACTCTGAGAGCCTGCAGAGAGAGGTGTTTGCATGAGGAGGCAGGAACCTATTCTATTTGGATTGAGAACTTTTTGCAGTCACAAGTGATGAGTGACAGCAAAAAAAAGTTATGAATTATAGTTTATTATTTCCATTACTCTTCCCACCTCTCCCTGGGCTGGGAACTTCTTTCCTGGGCAGAGACAGATACCTTTTACCTGTCTGGCTCTGCTTGTGGTGTTTTAAGAGGGCAGCAAGTTGGCCTCCAAGGGTTTCTTTCCATCCTGTGATTTGTATATTCCTGGATTTGCTGACGTGTTTCAGACAACAGACTAATTGCTCTGCCTGTGTTGTTCTCCCTCCTGCTTTTGAAGGATCTTATTTCACGTGTTGTGCCCTCTCTCTCCTATTTCCAGATTCTGCTTGTTGGCAACATGGTCATTCCAAGCATTGGAATTAGGCTTGGGTGTACATTCTGTTTCAGGTCTCAGTGATTGGGGTGGCAATAGGCGCAAATTGTTTAATTTCTTAGAATCCGTTTTCTCATCTTTAAAAGGTCAATAAGAACCATCTTGTTACTGCACAGATTTTGAAACCAGATCTTTGGTTCCATTTTGGCTGTTTTTGGTTCCATTTTGCTGTTACTTGGCTGTAAGCCCTTGAGATCAGCTTTACTTCTCTGCTCCTCAGTTTTCTCACCTGCAAAGTGGGGGTGATGATACCACTAACTTCATAAGGCTTGTGAGGATTAAGTGAAGAAATAAATGTAAAGTGCTTATAACAATGTCTGTCATACATTAAGTACCCAATAGATATTAAATATCATTATTATCTGTCAGTGTCATTCTGAGGATTAACTAGGAAAACATGCATAAAGTGATTAGAACAGTGCATATAAAGCATGCTATGTTGTTTCCGTATGAATCTTGTCAAATCCCTACTACCTTAAAAATATTTTTTTCATCCTGAATCACTAGCTACTCCTCTCTTTATTCCTCCTGAATTTTCCCACAATGTACTTCTCCAAAATGTAGATCACACACGTTGTCTCCATTTTTCTCACTTCCATTCACTTCTCAGCTCAATGCAATCCAGTATAGGCCCTCTCCATCACTCAAAAACGTGGAAACTGTCCTATTAATGTTGCCAGAGCTCATTGAACAAACCCAGGGGCAGCATCTGAATCTTTATCCTGCTTGACCTGCCTACAGCTTTTGACACTGATGTGCATTGCATACTTCTCGAAGCCCTTCTCTCCACTGGGTTTCATGTCATCACTTTCTGCTAGTCCTCCTGCCGTCTTGCATGCAGGACCTTTGCAGCTTGCTTTACAACTGTTGCTCTCCCTCTTCTTTAAACATCAGTCTTCTCCCGGGCTCTGTCCTTGTTACTCTTTATTTCACCTATTCTGTGGCTTCAACTTCTACCTCTATGCTGAGAGCTCCACATTTATAGCTTCAGCTCAGTTTCCTTCTCTGAGCTCCTCACCTAACAAATATAATGGACAAACCCAACCAATTTGATGTCTTGGAGGCATCTTAAACACAAAGTGTTTAAAACTGAATACATCATCTCACCTACCCTTGACTCTTAATAAGTCTCTTCCCTGTGTTCCTTCCTTGTATTAGTAAATGGTACTGCTGTCCTTCATATGTCCAAGCCGGAAACCTAAGAGTCATCATAGTCTTTTCCCCTTTTTTTTTTTTTTACTACTGCATCCCATCAATCATTAAGGCTAAGAAGTATGCTTTTTAAATATCTCCTCCAACCCTTCTCTACTGCCTCAGATGTGAACATGGCTCTCCTGTGTTATTATAATAGTCTCCTTGCGCTCCAGTTGCAGCTACACAAATCATTGTGTGGTCCCCTGAATATTTCACGCTCGCTCACGGCTCTGAGTCCAGGATGATGCCTATGTCTGCCTGGAATGGTTCCTTCCCATTAGTTTGAAAAACAGAATTAAAATCTTCTCTAGCCTTCCCTGATGTCCCTGGCACATTTAGTTGCTGCTCCGAATGCTACCCATGGGCTTTGAATGTATTTCCAGTGTGGTAATATCTAATTTTACTATAACTGTTCACTTGGCCGTCCATCTATCCGTTACTATGAACATCTTAAAACTGAAGGCAACGCCTTTTCATTTTTGTCATCTTAGTGCCAGGCACACCAAAACCTTTCCACCTGGATGCCCCACAAACATCTCAAATATGACATGCTTGCTGAATGACTGAATGAATGAATTTGTTGAACAAATCTTTTCTATCTTCTGTGTCTTGAGTGTGGGACACAACTATCTTCCTCACTTTCGGTGACAAATATTTCATCACCTCTTGGTTGACAGAGATGTTAACTAACACTAAAACATGTCAGTTCTCATTGGCCATTTATAACTTGTCTTTTTCTCAAGCCCCAGCTACCTATAAGAAGTGATAAATGAAACTTATCCAAGGTAAGTCTGTTGTTCCATAGAAAGAGCATCCTTTGAATTAAAGCACAGCATTGATAGGAGTGCTTCCTGGGTGCACAGTTGGATTTGAACAGGATGTTGATATTTCAGAGTATAGTTTTTACCTGGCATGTATTTTAAAGGATTAATAAAAACAAGTTGGAGAATTATTTGCAGGTCACTTTTTTAAAGTTCTGTATACAAACACAAATACACACACACATATTTCATTTGCAAATCTAAAAACATTTACTGAGCTACAGTACAACCCATCAATCCTACTTCTGGGTATTCATCCAGAAGAACTAAAATCAGGATCTCAAGGAGATATCTGCATTTCTGTGTTCATTGCAGCATTTTCCCCAATACCCAAGATGTAGAAACAGCCTAAATGTTCATTGTCTTGACAGATGAATGCAGGTAAAGAAAATGTGATGTATGCAAACCATGGAATACTATTCAGCTTTAAAAAAAGAACATTTTACAATAGGTGACAACATGGATGAACTTTGAGGACATTAAAACAAGACATGGAAAGATAAATCCAACATGATTCTACTTTTAATGAGGGATATAAAATAGTCAAATTCATAGATTCAGGGTAGGGATGGTGGTTGCCAGGGGCTTGGGGAAAGGAAAAATGGGGAGTTATTAATCAACAGGCACAAAGTCTCAGTAAGGCAAGATGAATCATCTCTAGATATATGCTGTACAACATCATGCCTATCATCAGCAATAATGCATTACACACTTACAATTTGTAAGAAAATAGATTTCATGTTAAGTGTTCTTGCTACAATAAAGTAAAACAAAATACTTACTAAATAACAAAGGAAAAAATTTCACATCTTAGTGCAGTAGATGGTTTTTAGCAATTTCTACTATCTGTTGGGTCACACTTAACATAGAGAATGCTTTTGCATTGTGTCTTGTGAAATTTGTTCTAGCTCTACACTTTATAAAACTTTGTTATACTCTGAGAAAAGGCAGAGAGTCCACTTTTTAATTCTTTTTTATGACTCAGTAATGAGATACAATTTTTATTTTAACGAAATTCTTTGCGATTTAGAAAAATGAAGTAGTTTCAAATTGGAAATCTAAACTCTCTGGTACATGGACCACCAGCTCACTTCTTAAGCAAAAGAACCAATCAGTTAATAACAATGAAACATAAAGCTATGAAGGGTAGAATATATTTATCATTTCTCAGCTATGTGAAAAATGCCACCATGCCAGCTTTCATCATCTTTCCCCTTATCATCTAAATGTATATTTGAAATACAGCATCATAAACTAAATGGATGTTTTTAAGTTGTCATGTTAGACTTTCGCTGGTCATAAAGCTGGCTGATATTATTTTCTATTATCTGAGCAGCCAATCAAGGCTTTTTAAATACAAATCTTATACAACTCTCCAAAATCAATGTTACATAACTAAATGCACCTGGTGTGCTTAACTGTTAATTTTTCCTATCCTTTATTACTCAATGAGTAATGAATCAATTATGATAGAGACAGTTATCAATTTCGAATATTAAAAAGAATAAATAGAGGACAACATACTTTTTCTAAAGCCCAACTTTTTCACTTGTTGTCAGATCACTGAATTTAGTGAATGAATTAATTTTGCTAATGTTAATTATCTGTAAGAAATGTATTACCCTAAATAATCAGGATTAAAACAAGCCCATGGTGTGGCTTTCTTTTTTTTTTAAGTTGAGGTATTATTACACAAAGAAAAAGAAGCAATTCTAAATTATGTATGGAATTAATCTTGGTTGGACTTGGGTAAGCCACAATGGGAAATTAGGCGACAGTTAATCTTCTGATAAATACATCTGGATTTAGACTACACAATTGTTTAGAAGTTATTTGGGAACTTAGAGGACAATTCCTCTAGGTAAATTGTTTCCCCTAAGTTCCCAGCAATGGGGTGATTCTGAGGCTAAAACAAATAAAACCCCCCAAGCCCCCCAAAACTGTCTTACCCACAACAAAAGAGAAGCACAACAGCCCAATAATTTTAAAGAATAAAGCTAGATCTGCTTAGATGCAAATTTTTAAAAATCAGATTGTATAGACACAATATGATCAAATATACAATTAGCAAAGATAAGCCTCTGAACTGCAATAAGCCAACTCAAAAAAAAAAAAAAAAAATACACGACGGCCCAGCCGGAGATAAGAGAGTCAGCCCAGTATTTTCTCTCCATGTTTTTAAGAGCAGCAGTTATGGTGACAGAATCTACCACAGGGTGATCTATGCTCTCCACACCGATGACAGAAGTGACATTCACTGCATTGCACAACAAATTGTTTTCAACTTACTTGTTTTTGGACATGCTGCTGCAGTCGGAGGGAAATTGGAAATCTTGTACACACCTTATAAGGAGTAACATATGACACTGCATTTTTCAGGAAATCAGTTGGACCTCAGATTTGGTCAAAGTACTTCTAGATCCCATTGAAGTGGTGATACTGTGATGCTGAGAATCTGCTCTGAGCACTTGTTTAGTTGATATTGGGGCAGTAAACCATATGGAAGGTAGATTCTGTCACTCTAAAGATTTTCTCCTCCTTTTCATCCAGGGTTATATGACTATTCTTCTTACTACAAGAATGGCAAAATTACAGTGGAGGAAACTAATCATTAAATTTTTTTTTTTTTTTCTTTTTTTTTTTTTTTTTTTTTTTTTTTTTTTTTACCACAGAGCTCTTTGATCATCTGGTAAGAGCTAACGACCTCTTATAGAAATCTACAAATGCCCAGAAAATTTTGCACAGAACTTCAAGAGGTTACTCAGCTACTGAAATCCATCCCTGGACCCCCCGAAACTCCTTAATTAAGATGTTTACTGTGACAACTGGAGGATCAGGTTCATACCTTACTCTTCTCTGTCTGTGACATGACTTTTACCCCTGACCCAGACAGAGCCTTCAATATTGCCCCAGAGACCCACCTTGCCTTACAGTGTCTTGATAGTGGAGCCACACCAAGCTACTCAGGCAAGATGTGTCACTGATAACTCCTCAGTGCAGATATCAAGTTTCTGTAAGAATGTCCTAGTGGCAAAAGTTCACACTAAGCACAGTACATCAAGAATACAAATACAGCAAGTCTGGGGTGACAGATTTTCTACATTGTTCTACTTTCTGCCTCTCCCTCTTCCCTGGTCTATAGTTACCGTGCATAGTGACAGGCCAGACAGACAGACCACACTCCCCACTTGGCTCAGACTCTGTCCTGTACTCTGGCTCTTTCTCTTTTGTTTCTCCATGAGCCAAATTCTTTAGGAATTGCTCTGAATGAACCTCCTGGAAATCTCTAGGATCCCAGCTGTATCTCCCCTTTGTGATGTCTTTGTTACTGAGGAGTAATTAATTGTTACCTGGTGTGACATTTAAATATTCTTAGTATTCTGTCATTGTTTCTGACCATCCTCCTTCTGTAGCTAGGTCCTTGAGAGCAAGATGTCTATGGATATTACCCCTTGGAGCTAAGAAATGGATCAATTGAGATACGTTTCAATACTGGATTGAACTATTAAAGCATTAGGCAGGTAGCAAGGCTGAATCAAAATAGTCTTAGGAACATTGGAATAGGAAGGGCATGCTGTCTCCTCTGCGTTTTTCAAACTTTTTGAAAGTGATGCATTGTAATAAATCTTTTCCCCATTACGATAGAGTATACAAAATATGTGTAATAGAGACAAAAATTATCTGAAACAAAATTTACCCATATTACATGTGCTGCACTCTATTTTCTATTCTGTTCAATTTTATATTAAAAAAACAATAAGAAACACTGTTCACTGCCCATTACATGGATTTCATGACCCACTAATAGGTGGCGACTTGTTTGCAAAACACTGGCTTATCCCATGGGATTGGATTAAACTTGACAAGGAATTCTGCTCTGCCTTGCATTCTTCTCTAAAATCCATAAAAAGGTTTTTTTTTCTATTTATTAATTTACATAATATTCAAAGAGAATCCTTATAACAGTTCTGAACTGGGTTTTATATTAGGTTTCACAGATAACAAGTGGCAAAACTCATCGCCATAACCAGTCTTGGCATTTCAAATCGACGGCTATTTCCATCTTATCATGCTGCAATCTATCATCTGATTTTTCCCTGCCTAGACTCCCCACCTTGGCTGGAAGTACCCAAAAAGCTAGGAATGTACCTTAGCCATGCTAGGTACCCAGGAGGCACTTAATGAATATATGATAAACAGAATGGAATAACACTCTTGGTCAAAAGCCATGTCTTGGCTTGGCATGTTTTGGGACATCTTTGTTCCAAAACCTTATATAATTCTCTCTCTCTCTTTTTTATTATACTTTAAGTTCTAGGGTACATGTGCACAACATGCAGGTTTGTTACATATGTATACATGTACCATGTTGGCTTGCTGCACCCACCAACTCGTCATTTACATTAGGTATTTCTCCCAATGCTATCCCTCCCCCCACCCCCCTACCCCATGGCAGGCCCCGGTTTGTGATGTTCCCCGCCCTGTGTCCATGTGTTCTCATTGTTCAACTCCCACCTATGAGTGAGAACATGTGGCGTTTGGTTTTCTGTCCTTGTGATACTTTGCTTAGAATGATGAAAACCTTATGTAATTCTTAATAATCATACTTTCTTCATACTCTATGCGCCATTCATTAATGGGTTGGCACTGGAAACATTTCCCAAGCTTATAGGGAATTCTTCAATGAACATAGAGGAGCTACTGAGAGCTAAACACTCTTTGGTTCCTGCCTGTGATTGAGTTTTTCCCAGAACTCAAAGAGAGAATTTCAGAAAGGCCAATAAAAGCCCCCAACAGGAGAGTTTTTGTTTTTGCTAGTTTTCCCAAACAGCTGGCTTCCCTAAGGCTGTAATTTGTAAGCCTGGTTTCTACCAGACTCTAAATCCATAATCAATGATAAGCTATCAAGCATATGCCCTAATTTATATTACTTTGGGCCTTTTCTAGCCAAAACCAACATCCCTGGGGAAATACCAAAATACATCTGTCCTAAGGTAGATACCTTATGTCTGGGGAGGTAGGGGGTGGACAGCTAAGACTTGGTATTGAACAGGACTGAGTAATCGTCTAATGAATGAATGAGTGTATGGATAATCAAAGTGCAAATGCCTGCTATACATATGTAGGTATTCAGAATATTTTATATGCATTTATATGAGGCTCTTTTCCCTGATGACCTAGGAAGGGAAAAGACGGCAATAACATAGTCTTGTGGGTACTTGGGGAAGAAAAGTCAGGTGGAGAGAGAGAAACTGAGGGGAGCAAACAGAAGGTAAGGAGAGAAGAATAAAAGAATGAGAGGGAAACATCTGGCCGGAAAAGCAGGAAGGCCAGCAGCTCTGAATGCAGATCACAATCTTTGTTAGTCATCTTTATCTTACTGGTTACTTTGCTACTCAAAGTACACATTTCCTATGGTGGAAACTCCCTTGTTTACTTATTCTTCCTGACCCAGGTTTAAAAGGCCTGCCTAACCATCTCAGTAGGCTTTTCCTAGCTGATATCCTTCTGAGCTGTGGTAGAGAAAGGGGAAGCAGTGCCCTCATGGCTCCTGGATTTACAGTTCCTGAGGAAGAACTGACAAATAGAGGAAGACTTCCCTAATATCAAATGAAGCAGAACCTTCTGGGCAGAAGGAAAACAGGTGATGTTGCAATGACAGGGCTCACCTTTCCACCTCGTGTTTGATGAGGGTTTGAGAAAAGAGCCACATTCTTTCCAAAAGTCAGGTCAGAAGCCTTTCCACACTTTGGTTTCCCAATTCAGCACCCGTAATGTCAAATAAAACGAAGGCCCTTGCCCCAAGTGAAGTCATCAGCAAATATCTCTTTGCTTTCCGGGGGACTGTGTTCTCTCACAACATCTTTTGGAATTATCACTTCATACTGAAACAAGGGTTTGATCTTTTCATGAGATGTATGGTGATGAAATTAAGGCCAGGGGCTCTGGGGACAGAAGAGAAGGCTGGCGCCACTCGTATGCCCTGGAGAAACAGTGAGATGAAGAGCACAGCCTCTAGAGCCAGAGTGTCTGGATCTAAAATTGGCTCTGCCAACAAGCATGTAAGTCACATAGCTTTTATATGTTTCATATGAAAATGGAATAAAAGTCTTATCTATAGGAATAAATAAGTCAATAGAAGTGACGCACTTAAAACAGTGTCTGCGTATAGTAGGCATTCAGTGAGGTGCTGGCTATTACTGGGGTGTGAGAACAGAAACAGTCATTTGCTCAATCCCAAGTTTATTTTGGTACTTTGTTTCTTTCTTGTAATAAGGACCAGTAGTTTCAAGAATCCTAGAACGTTAGAACTGAAAGGAACGTTCATTTTATGGCTATGTAAGGCTCAGAGAGAGTGGAGCCCTCCAAGGTCACGCAGCTACCTGGTGGCAGTTTCAAGACCAAACACCAGGCTTCCCATTTTCTGGACCACTCTCCACTCTACCACCCTCCTTCCTTGGAGGACGATGTCCAGGACCAAGATAATGCTGTTAGGGCAATGATAACAACTGGAACTGTAGTAGCCCCTCCAACGGCTCCCTTGTCACTACAAAGACAATCTTAAGCGGGTTCATTCATTCATTCATTCACTCAGCACTGCTTTTTAAGCTATTCTCAAACAGTACAGAAAAGCGAAACACAGTTCTCATTCTTAAAGAGCTTCTATTGAAATTAGAGCAATAAGATATGAAGATAAAATTATACAATAGTACAATCACTTACATTATACAATATTTATATAATTATATTTTATAAATATAAATATATTTTATATTTATAAATTATACAATAATACAATCATTTATGTTAAGTGTCTAAGTATTAGACAGCTTACATATATTCTATCTAATCAGTTGCTAGTAAAAGAGTTTACATTAAGGTTAATAACATTATGAATTCCTAAAATAAATGAAACCAAGCAAGCAAGGAAAAAGATGTGCAAAGCAGTTTGGAGGTTTAATAAGACAAAAAAAGACACCTGGCTAGAAGGATCAGGAAAGTCTTCATGCAGTAAGAGTAAGTGGCATTAGATGTGGGCCCTGAAACATGAATAGGTAACAGAATTAGAATGTGACCTTTTCCTCTCTCCTCCATGAATAATTACTTTCTAAATATAAATATACGCAAATGTATACATATACTCGTACAAAGAAATGAAATACAATTCTACATAAATTTTCTATGGAATTTCAAAGACAAGTAAAACATAAATGAATCCAAAAGGCAAGAACTTCCAGCACTTCCACCCTATTCTGTGCAAGGCAATTGAAGAATAAGAGGGCTTGTTTTAAGAATTATCATCACATATGAACTTCTAGTTCATCTGTAACAGTGGTTCCCAACCTTTTTGACACCAGGGACTGGTTTTGTGGAAGACAGTTTTTCCACGGATGGGGATCGGGAGTGAGATGGGACTGGGGTGTGGGGGTGATAGTTTCAAGATGAAACTGTTCCACCTTAGATCATCAGGCATTAGATTCTCATAAGGAGTGCACAACCTAGACCCCTAGCATGAACAGTTCACAACAGGGTTCATGCTCCTATGAGAATGTAATCCGCTGCTGGTCTGGCAGGGGGCAGAGTTCAGGCCATAATGCTGGCTTGCCTGCCACTTACCTCCTGCTATGTGGCCTGGAACCTAACAGACCAGAGAGTGGTACTCGTCTGTGGCCTGGGCTTGGGGACCCCTGATCTATAGGATACAAGACAAGTCACTCCTCACAAGGAAGAAGGATGGTCATGATCAGATTTGGAGAGACAAGCTGATAGACTGGATTTCTACTGCCACCATGCCTGTGTATCAGTGGAGGTCTTAAGTAAATTATTGGATAATACTGCAGGAGGACAGTCAGAGCCACTGCAGGACTCCAGGCTAGATAGGGAAGTGGGGGTAAAAATACAGAGAAGGACATTTGTTCTATAATGCAGACTGTTTTCCAAAGCAGCTACACTATCTTACATTCCCATCAGCAATGAAGCAGGGTTCCAGCTTCTCCACATCCACATTATCTGTCTTTTCAATTACGGTCATTCCAGTGAATATGAATTAATATCTCATTGTGGTTTCAATTTGTATTTTCCTGATGGTTAATGATGTCAAGCATCTTTTTGAGTGCTTATAGGCAATTTGTAAATCTTCTTTGAGAAATATCTGTTCGTGTCCTTTGTCCAGTTTTAAACTGGGTTGTCATTTCATCCTTGAGTTGTAATAATTTTTTATTACGGCTACAAGTCCTTTACCAGATATATGATTTGCAAATATTTTCTTCCATCCTTTGGTTTGTCCTCTTACTTTCTTTATCTTATGTTTTGAAGCACAAATGTTTTATAATTTTGATGAAGTCCTATTTATGTCGTTTTTCCTTTTGTCACTTATGCTTTTATTGTCATTTTTAGGAAACCACTAAGAAACCAAGGTTACACAGATTTACTTCTATATTTTTTTCTAAAAGCTTTATAGTTTTAACTTTTACATGAAGGTCTATGATCCATTTTGAGTATTTTTTTTTGGCATGGTGTGAGAAAGTGGTCCAACTTTACTTTAAAAAAATAAACTTTACTTTTTAGAAATTTTAGATTTACAGAAAAAATTGAGAAGATAGTACAAAGATTTCCCATATATGCTACGTTTCCCCTATTAGTGTGGTATATTTGTTACAACTAATGAACCAACAGTGATAAATTATTATTAACTGAAGTCCATAATTTATTCAGATTTTTCTAAGTTTTATATAATCTGCTTTTTTTTTTTTGTTCTGGGATCTCATCATGGATACCACACTACATTTGGTCATCATGTCTCCCTAGGCTTCTTTGGCTGTGACAGTTTCTCTGGCTTTTCTTGCTTTTAATGACCTCAACAGTATTGAGGAGTAGTGGTAGGACATCATAAAGTGTCCTTCTGTTGGGATTTAACTGATGTTTTTATTATGATTAGAGTAGGGATATATGCCTTTAGACTGGGCTAGGGATATGTGTTTTGCAAATATTGTTTCCCAGTCTGTGAATGGTTCTTCATCCTCTTAAAAGGTCTTTTGCAAAGAAGAAACTTTTAATTTTAATGAAGTTCAACCTATCATTTTCTTCTATATTTTCTTTTGGAAGTTTCATAGTTTTGTGTTTTACATTTATGTCTAATCCATATTGAGTTAATTTTTTAAAAATGTTTAAGGTTTATGTCTTGTTTTATTTTATTTTTTTAAGATGAATTCTCTTTCTGCTGCCCAGGCTGGAGTGCAGTGGCATGATCTTGGCTCACTGCAACCTCCATCTCTTGGGTTCAAGAGATTCTCCTGCCTCAGCCTCCCAAGTAGCTGGGATTATAGGCACTCACCACCACCCCTAGCTAATTTTTGTATTTTTAGTAGAGACAGGGTTTCACCATGTTGGCCAGGCTGGTCTTGAACTCCTGATCTCAAGTGATCTGCCCACCTCAGCCTCCCAAACTGCTGAGGTTACAGCATGAGCCACTGCTCGCAGCCTATGTCTTGTTTTACATTTTTACATGTAGACTTCCAATTGTTCCTGCACATTTGTTGAAAGGATGATTCTTTCTCCATGGAATTGCCTTTGCTTCTTTGTCACAGAAGACTTGACTATTTGTGTGGGTTTATTTCTAGGCTCTGTATGCCATTCCAGTGATTTATGTGTCTATTCTTTCTCGAGTACCACACTGTTTTAATTGCTGTAGCATCATAGTAAGTCTTGAAGCTGGGAAATTTCAGTCCTTTGACTTTATTCTTCTTTAATATTGTGTTTGGTATTCAGGGTCTTTTGCTTTTTCGTATAAACTTTAGAGTCAGTTTGTTGGTACCCATAATGTAGCTTGCTGTGATTTTTATTGGGTTAATATTGAATCTATAAATCAATTTATGAAAAACTGACAATATTAAGTCTGCCAATCCATAATTATGGACTATGTCTGCATTCATTTAGATCCTTGATTTTTTTTAATCAGAATGTTGAAGTTTTTTGCATGGTGACCCTATACGTATTTTGTTAGATTTATTTCATTTTTCAGTGTTATTATAAATAGCATTTTATCAGTATATAAAAAAAGCATCAACTTTTGTATATCAGTCATGTAATCTGCAAACTTGATATAATCACTTTTTAGTTCCAGGAAATTGTTTTGGTGATTATTTGGGATCTTCTACATGGATAATCATATCATCTGTGCATGCAGATAGGTTTTTTAGCTAGGACTTCCAGTACAACATTGAGTAGGAATAGTGAGAGACATTCTTGCTGTGTATACAATTTTATGGGAAAAAAATTCAGTTTTTCAGTATGATGTTAACATTTTTTTTTCTTTCTTTTGGTAGCTGTTCTTTTTCAAGTTGAGAAAGTTCATCTTTATTTTTATTTTGTTGAGAGTTTTTATCAAGAATTGCTTTTGGAGTTTGTTAAGTGCTTTTTCTGCATTAATTGGTATCATCATGTTTTTTCTTCCTTAGCTAGCTGAGGTGTTAGGTTATATTCAGTGTTGTGATGGGTTATATTGATTTAATGTTGAATTGGATTTGAATACCTGGAATAAATCCCACTTGGTCATGATTTGTAATTCTTTTTTATACATCATTGAATTTGATTTGTTAATATTTTTAAAGGATTTTTGCTTCTATGTTCATGAGAGATATTGGTCTGTAATTTTCCATTTTGAATATCTTTATATTAGAGCCCTATTGATGGGCTGGTAAAGTCAGGGAGGGAAAACAGTCTACAATTTTATGGTTAAATATCAATGTTTTAGTGTGCCTGGGTCCCTGGCACGAGAACTTCACAAGTGTTTCATAGCTCCCTTCACTTTGATAAGACAGGAAGTGTATAGGGGGCTGGAGGCAGGAAAATATACTTTCCCCAGGTGGGGTAAGGCTCTGGTAAAATCTTTTCCCTGCAAAGTAGGCCTTGGTTATGGTGCATGTTCTAGAGTTATTTCAAAATGGGAACTTTTTCTACCACCTGCTAGAGCCATGAGAGTTTTCTTAGCTCTCACTGTGAAAACCTGGTGGGGTTCCTAGAGGTAAAGCCCATGAACGTGTAGTGCTGCCTTGTATGACTGAGGCCTCCATGGGTTTCTCACTCTCAGGCTAGTCCACACTTAGCGTCCAGCAATTTGTCAAAGTTACCATTTTAATTTTCCTATCAATTTATGGCAATAGTGATTCCTTCTCCAGGTAAGCAGATCTGAGTGACTCTCTGGGTTCGACTACCTGTCCAGATTTTGGAATGACTGCCCTGAAACCTCAGTTCCCTGATGGATCTGAGCAAAGTGATTGACTTTTAGTTTATTCTTTTTTTTCCTCTTATTGTAAGATCGGGAGTGATGACTTCCAAGCTCTTAACATGCAGGGCTGAAACTTAAAGTTCCAACTTCATTCTTTGCATTCGAATATGCAATTGTACCAGCATCGCTTGTTGAAAAGACTCTTCTTTCCCCATTGAATCTTGTGACACTCTTGTCAAAAAATCACTTAACCATAAATGTGAGGGTTTATCTCTGGACTCTCATTTTATCCTGCTGATCTATGTGTCTACTCTTATGCCAATACCACACTGTCTTGATTATGATAGCTTTGTAGTAAGTTTTGAAATCAGGCAGTGTGAGTCCTCCAACTCCATTGTTCTTTTTCAAGATTGACTATTCCGGTTTCTTTGCATTTCTATATGATTTTTAAGATCAGCTTTTAAATTCCTGCAAATAAGCAAATA
Source organism: Homo sapiens (assembly GCF_000001405.40). NCBI lineage: Eukaryota > Metazoa > Chordata > Mammalia > Primates > Hominidae > Homo > Homo sapiens. Next base: position 21,076,782 of record NC_000002.12, read on the forward strand.
AAATTTTAAAGTAGATTCCCTGGAATCTCCAGATCAGTTTGGAAAGTTTGGCTATCTTAACAGTATTAAGTCTTAACTCATTCCATTTATTTAGGCTTCTTTAATTTCTTTCAAATATGCTTCAGAGTTTTCAATATACAAATATTATACTCCTTTTGGTAAATTTATTTCTACATATTTTATCCTTTAGTGCTATTAAAAATAACATTTTTTTAATTTCATTTTTAGATTGCTCATTGTTAGTGTCTAGAAATAAAATTGATTTTTATGTATTGACCTCCTATCCTGCAATCCTGCAATCCTGCAAAACGTACTTATTTGGTTTTTAAATTTTTTTTCAGGTTTTTTTTTATGGTTTTGAGTATTTCTTTTAGGGTGATTGCTTAAAGCTTCTCTGGTTCAATAAAAGTGAATTTAAAAATGCCCGCAAGAGTTATCAATTGGATTGATTATTATACTAAAAAAATACTCTAGGTAAAGTTTGGTGATAAGATGAACAGTAGCTAGAATGAGTTATGGAGTTGAGAGGGGATATTTTTGTCATGGGCCCAACTTGAGGGTGTTTATAGGCTGAAGAGAAGAAGCCAGTGGGAAGAAAGAGTTTGATATTAGAGAAAAGAAGGAGACGGTGGATGAAGAAGTGGCAAAGGAGTCAGAAGGGAGTGGGTTAGGTGTAGCTACTGGTTCTGAAATACCTTAAGGTTTACCTTGTCTTCCTAGATATTGGGGAATGAGTCCAGGGTATAGATATGAATGAACATGTGGACTGGAATGTACAATAAAAAAGCTGACAGGAAGCAAGATGCTGGTGGAGAGTATGCTTGATAACTTCAATTTCTCCATGACATAGGAGTCCAGGGGATTTGCTGAAGGGAGAGGTTTTGAGGAGAGTAGTGAGGTTCGGAATAACTATTTAGAAAACAATTTGGAATTTGAGAATTAAAGCCATCTTTTAAATAGAAAGTCTTTCTAATTAAAAATCTCTAAAGGCTTTTAATAGAATTATATTTTTAAAGGATAGAAAATTCTCTAAAGTCTTTTTAATAGAAAGAATTCTATCAAGAAGAATAGAAAATTCTCTAAAGTCTTTTTAATAAAATATTCTCCATATTACTACGGCAACTGAAATCAGACCAGAATGAAGGTGGATGTCTATAAGATCCCTGCTGTGTTTCCATCTTCTGGATGGTTTGCCAAAAAAGTCTAAGAGAAATTTTAGCTAAGCATTATGTAAACTATCCTGTGACCAAGACCCACTTGGCTTTGATCCCCATTACCCCAACCCCTTTCCTGAATTCTTTATTGTCTCTGAAATAGATCAATGAGGAAATGGTTTCTTTCCAAACCTCTGTTGGGGATAATAAACCTGCTACATGCCTGGTAGGATGATCATGCTTCTGCCTTAAGGCTTATATCCTGGAATATATCCTGGAATATATATATATATATATCTCCTGGAATATATCCTCTGATGTAAAAATTAAATCCCAGTTTAAACATAAAATCCTGGAATCTATCCCTTAACATCTGCTCCAACAGAAACTGAAGTCTGAGCTAGTGTTTTTTTCTTCCCCAGAGTTGTGCTTATGCATGTAGAGGTGTTATGGACTGAATGTTTGTGTCTCCCCCAGAAGTCATATATTGAAGACTTAACCCCCCAGTGTGATGATATTTGGATATGGGCCTTTGGGTGGTAAAGTTAGGTGGGGCCATGAGGGTGGGGTGCTCGTGATGGGATTAGTGCCCTTATAAAAAGAGATGTGAGAGAGCTTGTTCTTTCTCCTTCCATGCTTGCAAAAGAGGTCATGTGAACACATAATAAGAAGGTAGCCATCTGCAAGCCAGGAAGAGAGCCCTCACTAGAACTTGACCCTGCCAGCATCTTGATCTTGGACTTTCAGCCTCCAGATTGTGAGAAAATAAATGTCTGTTGTTTGAACCACACAACTCATAATTTTTTACGGCAGCCTGAGCAGATTAAGACATATTTTGGTACTGAGAAGCAGGGTGCTACTGTAACCATAACTAAACATGTGGAAGCAGCTTTGAAACTGGGCAATGGGTAATGGGTAGAGGCCAGAAAAGTTTTTTTTTGTTGTTTGTTTGTTTGATTATTTTTATTTTTGTAGACACAGGGTTTTGCTATGTTGCCCAAGCTAATCTTGAACTCCTGTTCTCAAGCGATCTTCTAGCCTCAGCCTCCTAAAGTGCTGGAATCGCAAGTGTAAGTGATCAAAGCGGCCAAAATACCCCCCTTTTTTATTATACTTTAAGTTCTGGGATACATGTGCAAAACATGCAGATTTGTGACATAGGTATACACGTGCCATGGTGGTTTGCTGCACCCATCAACCCATTATCTACAGTAGGTATTTCCCTAATGCTATCCCTCCCTTATCCCCCAACCCCCTGACAGGCCCAGGTGTGTGATGTTCACCTCCCTGTGTCCGTGTGTTCTCATTGTTCACCTCCCACTTATGAGTGAGAATATGCGGTGTTTGGTTTTCTGTTCCTGTGCTAGTTTGCTAAGAATGATTGTTTCCAGCTTCATCCATGTCCCTGCAAAGGACATGAACTCATCCTTTTTTATGGCTGCATAGTATTCCATGGTGTATATGTGCCACATTTTCTTCATCCAGTCTATCACTGATGGACATTTGGGTTGGTTTCAAGTCTTTGCTATTGTGAACAGTGCTGCAATAAACATACATGTCTTTATAGTAGAATGATTTATAATCCTTTGGGTATATACCCAGCAATGGAATTGCTGGGTCAAAAGGTATTTCTGGTTCTAGATCCTTGAGGAATCGCCACACTGTCATTCATGGCCATACTGCCCAATGTAATTTATAGATTCAATGCTATCCCCATCAAGCTACCATTGATTTTCTTCACAGAATTAGAAAAAACTACTTTAAATTTCATATGGAATCAAAAAAGAGCCAGTATAGCCAAGACAATCCTAAGCAAAAAGAACAAAGCTGGAGGTATCTTGCTACCTGACTTCAAACTATACTGTAGGGCTACAGTAACCAAAACAGCATGGTACTGGTACCAAAACAGATATATAGACCTATGGAAGAGAACAGAGGCCTCAGAAATAATGTCACACATCTACAACCATCTGGTCTTTGACAAACCTGACAAAAACAGGCAATGGGGAAAGGATTCCCTATTTAATAAATGGTGTTGGGAAAACTGGCTATCCATATGCAGAAAACTGAAACTGGACCCCTTCCTTACATCTTAGACAAAAATTAACTCAAGATGGATTAAAGACTTAAATGTAAGACCTAAAGCCATAAAAATTCTACAAGAAAACCTGGGCAATACCATTCAGGACATAGGCATGGGCAAAGACTTCTTGACTAAAACACCAAAAGCAATGGCAACAAAAGCCAAAATTGACAAATGGAATCTAATTAAACTAAAGAGCTTCTGACAGCAAAAGAAACTATCATCAGAATGAACAGGCAACCTACAGAATGGGAGAAAATTTTTGCAATCTATCCATCTGACAAAGGGCTAATATCCAGAATCTACAAAGAGCTTAAACAAATTTACAAGAAAAAAAAAACAACCCCATCAACAAGTGGGTGAAGGATATGAACAGACACTTCTCAAAAAAAGACATTTATGTGGCCAATAAACATGAAAAAAAGCTCATCATCGCTGGTCATTAGAGAAATGCAAATCAAAACCACAATGAGATACCATCTCACACCAATTAGAATGGTGATCATTAAAAAGTCAGGCAACAACAGATGCTGGAGAGGATGTGGAGAAACAGGAATGCTTTTACCCTGTTGGTGGGAGTGTAGATGAGGCCAGAAGAGTTTTGAGTTGCATGCTAGAAATATAAACATTAAGGGTGGTTCTGGCATGGAAATAGGGAACATGTTATTGGAAACTGGAAGAAACGCAATTCTTGTTATAAAGTGGCAAAGTACTTGGCTGAACTACGTTCTGGTGTTTTGTGTGAGGTAAAACTTGTAAGCAATGAAACTGGATATTTAGCTGAGGAGATTGCTAAGCAAAGTGTTTGAAGGAGAAGCCTAGTTTATTCTGACTGCTTATAATAAAATGCAAAAAGAGAAACATGAATTGAAGAATGAATTTTTAAGCAAAACATTTTGGAAAATTCTCAACCTAACATTATTGCAAAGAAGAAGAAAGCTTGTTCTGAAGAGAACACTAAGGGTGTGGCTAAACAACCATTTGAAAAAGATCATGGGTGCAACTCATGGACTTAATCAGCCATCTCAACAGAGGCTGGGAATACAGATTGGATTATGCCATCAGAGATACTGCCAGTTTGAAGTAAAGGAGACAGAAAAGGTAGTAGAGAATGGAGGAAGGCTGTCAGACTTTTTGGATTTTACAGGATGAAACCATAGAGTATTTCGCTTTGAACGTGTGCTACCTTTCAAGAACAGAGAAGGAACCCAAGGATGATTCAGAAGTCCTTAGGACTGCCACTCTCACCATGGTCCGGGCCCAGTGGGACAGGCTGCCTCCACCTCAGTTTCAAAGGGTAGTGCTGTGCCCAGCAGATCATGGATGGGGACTTTCTGAGAATTCAATGGATGGAGCTTCCCCCTACCCTCAGCTGAGGTAATAAGGCTACCCCCACAGAACTGAAGGGGTTGGGCCACCCACAGAGCTGGGGGGTGACAATGCCACTCCAATGCACCTCGAAAGGGCAGAACATCAAAGCAAAGCGGATAATTCTTGAACTTTAAGACCTAATGGAATTTGTCTTGCTAAGTTTGGACTTGCTATCACCCTTTCTTCTTTTGTATTCTCCCTTTTGGAATGGGAATGCCTATCCTATGCCTGCCCCACCATTGTAATTTGGAAGCATGTAATGTGTCTGGTTTCACAGGCTCATCACTAGAAAGGATTTTTTTTTTTGCTTCAGGATGAATTATACCTCAAGTGTTACCCATATTTGATTTAGATACTATTTAGATGAGACTTCAGACTTAAGAACTGATGCTACAATGAGTTAAGACTTTAGGGCTATTGGAATGGAGCGAGTATATATTTTGCATATGAGAAGAAAATGAATTTTTGGAGTCCAGGGGTGGAATGTTACAGGTTCAATGTTTATGCCTCAACCCCTCTGCCATTTATATATTGAGGCCCTAACTCCCAACGTGATGGAATTTGGAAAATGGGGCCTTTGGAAGGTAATTAGGATTAGATGAGGTTGTGTGGGTGGAGCCCTGTAAGAAGAGACATCAGGGAGCTTGCTTGCTGTCTCTCTCTTCCTGCACATATGTATACAAAGAAGAAGTCATGTGAGCACATGGTGTGATGGCGGCCACCTACAAGCCACAAGAGGAGAACTCAGAATGAAACCTACCTTACCAGCACCTTAATCTTGGAGTTCACCCGACTCCATAACTGTGAGAAATAAACTTCTTTCTTTTAAGCCATCTAGTCTATGGTATTTTGTTATGGCATTCTGAGCTAAGACAGGAGTTAATATTTATTAAATACCAACTATGTGCTAGGCACTGTGCCTCATTTAATTTTAAAACAAAACTAGGAAGTAGGTTTTAGTATTTCCAATTTGCCTGTGAAGAAAATAAAGCTCAGCATCACAAAACTAGTAAGTGATGGCAGATATTATCACATTGCCTTCCACTCCAAAGAAGCTGAACTGATTTATTCTCTCACCAACAATCCCCTCCCCACACACTTACCAACCTTGATAACTAACCCCCAATACATAGATATGTTTTATTGTTAGGGTTTGATTTCATTTCTCCCTTTTTCAAGCTAATGATTAAAAATGACTGACAACTTCTGAACTTGGTACAAAATATTGTCTTTGATATAATATGAGCAGGTATACATCTACGTTACTTTTTGAATGGCTATATTTTATATTATTGCATATATGTAAAATCTTGTTGTGACTATTTATTCAACAAACCCCTATGCCCCATAAAACACTTTTAAGTTGTATCAAGTCCTTCTCTGTTAAAGAAAAGCAACAACAATTTTTAAAAGATGCTTCAATAAACAGCCAGTATACCTATCTTTGTGGTTATGTGTAAGTCGATTGGTAGGATATAGTCCCAGGAGTAGAAGTGATGTTCAGAAGACATACAAATTTTTTATCTTACGTAGTCTTCTCTACTAAAAAAATTTATTCTGTGTTTTCTTCTAGTTCTTCTATGATTTCATTTTTTTACATTTATTTCTTGGATTCATCTGAAGTTTATTTTGGCATCAATAGTAGTGAAAGTTTGAACCTTAGTAATTTTTACTAATGCCATTTATTGACAAATCAATTTTCAACATTGATTTGAAATGCTGCTTTTATTGCATAAAAAATCCTTATATATACTGATCATCTTCTGGACTATCAATTCTATTTTGTTGATCTAGTTTTCTAATTTCAAATTATTTAATATCCCCATAGCAGCATGCTAAAATGCAAAGGCCCTAGAATGAGGGTGACTGAGGTCAAATCCTAACTCTCCCATTTATGAAATATGTGACTTTAGCCTAGCCCCTAAAGTGTATTTGTTCTTCAGCTTCCTCATCTCTAAAAAGATAAAATGTCAAACTAGTATTGCCTAATGACTCCTTCCCTAAGCCAAAATCTTGAGATGGACAGAAGAGAGGAAGGGGTTGAAGGAACTCCCCTTAAGAAACCATACTCAGAAAGTCACACATACACACACAAACCCATGAGGATTCATGGGGAAGCAGAAGAGTGCTGGGGACTTATATAGGTAGGAAGTGGTGAATTGGAAAGGGAAGGCATCAGGGGGAACTTTTAGGAAATAACTTGAGAAAAGGAGGTTCTAGTTTTACCCTGTTATTGCCCACATTGTTCTGGGGGAGTTGAGCTCAGAGGTGAGATTAGGGAAACTGAAACTGGTTTGGAACTGAGTGATGTGTTCCTAGTACACTGTAAAATTTGGCTGAAGCTTGCCTTTTGGGTGAATATCAGAGGATACTCAGAGCCCCACAAAATAGCGGTCTCAAAACCCAAAACAAATAATAATGCAACTGAAGGAATATACACTAATGATGAAGCTAGGACTCCCAGGTTCACCCTTTCCCTACTGTTCTCCCAAGGAGGAAGGTAGTAGTACCAGCTTGAGCCTCAGGATAACATCACACACCACAGTACTGAAGGCTGTCATGGACGACAGCCTCCACTAAGACAGGTGAAATATCAAGGTTAGCTGGCAAGTGGCTGAGTTGGTATTTGAACATGGTCTCTGATTACAAAACCCATGTTCTTCCTACGAAGTAATTTTTCTCCATTGGGGGAATTCTTCAATAATGACAACAATGACAATTTTCCTCTTGTCATTCAATATAGAACACTATTGGATCCTAAATTTCTTTTAGTATAATGATTATAATAATAACAATAAAAAACTAAACAGGAGAATCGCTTGAACCTGGGAGGTGGAGGTTGCAGTGAGCCAAGATCTCTCCATTGCACTCCAGCCTGGGCAACAAGAGCAAAACTCCGTCTCAATATAAACGAATAAATAAATAAATACATAAATAAAAATAAAAGTGTTTTTTCAAAGGTACAGAATGTTAAGAGAGGGATATTTAGTTGCTTGACATTTTCTCGTCTTGGCTTTTATTCCTAGAATCTGACAGATTACAAGAGACTTTGAACTGGCTTCAAGGATCTCCTTAGCCTTACTGATCCTAAACTCACCACAAGAGATGTGATTATGACTGTGTCATTCTTTTAATTCAATTCAGAATCCCCAGTGGTTACCCGCTGACTATAGGCCAGATTCCTCATTATGAATGCTATTTTGTGCTCATTATCCAGGAAGGGGTTATAAGATATTAGAAGGATTCTTGAGGCATTGTTCCTTTTAGTGTAAGGTTAAGGGGTTAATTGAACATCGGATAATCTCTGAGGTCCGACTCAAACTAAAGTTTTCAAGTCCCTATACCAATAGGCTTCAAATTATCTCCTAAGCCTCGTCTTCTCTAACTCCTTGATATAAACCTATCTTTATTTTTTATGTACTTATAATTTTTTCCATTAGAAATGGAATCAGTTCAGAATGCATAAAGCTTGATATTTAAGAGCTCAAGATCAATGAAGCCTTTTCCTTCTGCTTCAGTGAATTTATTAATTCAGCTCTTCATGTTCCATAAATTGTCACTGATTTAGTAATTTGATGAAAACATTTATATACAAATATTCCATAAAATATAAAGCCTATAGATACCAAGAAGTTTACTCAGCCATAGATAGAGTCTTAGAATAAAACACTCTGAATACACACAAATGAATAAGATATAAGAATATAATAGAAAAGCACTTATACTGGAGGAGTTTGATGATATATGTCCCTGGAGACAAAATTGTATTAGAATCACCTTCTCTCCATCCTGTTTTATTTCAAAGACCTTTCATATAGTACATTGCTTTTATGTTTAGAGTTTATGCCTAAATTTAACTCCATTATTCTTTTAGTTACTTTACTATTTATTTGTTTAAAAAAAGATTTGAAATGCTGGCGTACAATAAACTATTGCAAAGCTTCACAAAGTTCTAAACTCTCCTGGACTCTTTAGTAACTGAGTTATCCTAGATAGTTGCTTTCTATGTAGCTATTCTTTTTAAGAAGAGCATTTTAAAATAATTTTTGTCATTCCAAAAGAAATTTTTCCATAATGAGGGCATCCTCATCAGAGGATAATGAACATAGTATTTTAGTTATGATTAAGATCATCGCTAATCTTTTCCCTTTCTTCAGCAGCATTTATTGAGCAGATATTGGGTGAAGTTGACTATACAGAGTCTGTATAGGACAGGAGTGCTTTCATTTTCATTCATTCCAAAATAATTTGAAACTTCAATTTTGTTATTTCCTTATCCAATGAATTATTTAGAAGTGACATAAAATATCTAGCTGTCTGGGTTCTTTTTTAAAAAAATTTCTAATTTTAACATATTGTGCTTAGTTAAGTAGTTTATATATACATATTTAAAATTTTGCTGTAATTTCCTTAGTGGCTTCTATAAGAGCATTTTTTTTTGGTACATGTTATCAAGTAAACTGTGTATTCTCAGTTAGGTGTAAGTTCTATGTATATCTATTAGGATAACCTTGTTAATTTTATATTTAAATACTCTATATTTTTATTCATAGTATATCATAGTAGCAGACTGTAACAGACCACTATGATGTGATGTGTATTTGTTAATTTTCTTTTGTGATTTTACTAACTTTTTAGGTATTTCAAAATGATATTGAGGCATTTTAGGTTCATGATCATTATATCTTGCTGGTAAATTATTTGACAATATGAAATGTCCTGTTTTGATACTTTTAATGCTTTGACTTTCAATTCTATTTTGTCTGATACTGATGTTGCTGTTCCCATCCTACTGTTAGTACCTGCCAGGTGTAGGCTTTCAAACTTGGAATCATCATGGTTTTGGCTCTCTCCAGTAAGCAGCACTTAGCCGGAGTCTTAAAAATCCAACCTGATATTTTACCTTTTATGAAACAAATTTACCCCATTCATATTTATTTATTTATTTATTTTGTGAGACAGAGTCTCTCTCTGTTGCCCAGGCTGGAGTGCAGTGGCACGATCTCGGCGCACTGCAGCTTCTGCCTCCTGGGTTCAAGCCATATTTATGGTTATTAAAAATATATATTTAAACCTACTCCTGCCATCTTATTTTGTGTTTTCATTTTAACCTTCCTTTCTTTCTTGTTTTCTTGTTTCCCCTTCCCAGCCTTTTCAGGGATTAATGAAATTTTCTTTGTTCCACTTTTCATGTACTGTTTTGAAAACTATATTCTATCTTTATTCTTCCAGTGGTTATATTAACTTTTTAGTCACAAGTGGTTGAATTTGTATTTTCTAATAGTATCTATAATCACTGTCCATTGTCCCCTTTTGATGAACCTTAGAATGCTTTTTTCCCTAAATTCTTCATCAGCACCTACACTTCTATTTTCCACAACCCATGTTGAAATAACCTGGAATTTTTGGCACAGAGTATTTATTAAATATAGTTTTGCAATTATATTTCATAGAAAAATAGATTTTTGGCTTTCTTTGCTAACCACTGCAGCTCCTCGTGAGGTCCTGGATTCATTTTCTTTGTGTATTCTCTAGTAGTAGTTTCAGCTTTCAGAGAGATTCTGCTGTGTTATTAAAACTCTGAATTGGGGCCCGGCGCGGTGGCTCATGCCTATAATCCCAGCACTCTGGGAGGCCGAGGTGGGTGGATCACGAGGTCAGGAGATCGAGATCATCCTGGCTAACATGGCGAAACCCCGTTTCTACTAAAAATACAAAAAAATTAGCCAGGCGTGGTGGTGGGCGCCTGTAGTCCCAGCTACTGGGGAGGCTGAGGCAGGAGAATGGCGTGAACCCGGGAGGCAGAGCTTGCAGTGAGCCGAGATCGCGCCACTGCACTCCAGCCTGGGCAACTGAGCAAGACTCCATCTCAAAAAAAATAAATAAATAAAAATAAAAAATAAAAAAAAATAAAACTCTGAATCCCTGGATGTTTGAAAAACATCTTATTTCTTCCTCACATATTAATGATATTTTGGCTGACAATAGAAATTTGGATTTGAACTTCTTCTTATTCAGCAAACTGAAGGTATTGCTCCAATGTCTTTTCTTCATCCAATATTATCTATGAAAAATCTATGCCAAATTTGATTAGAATTACTATAAACAATCTTTTTTTCACTCTCTCTGAAATCTTCAATAGTTACTCTTTATACTTATAGCTTTTAACATATTGACTATATCCTTAATGCTCTGAATTCTCATTACATTTGTACAGATGTGGGGCCTTTTGTTTTTGTGATGTGTTTGTTTGTTTAAATCCTGCTCTGTGGTTGGTGAACTGTTTCCATTTGAGGGCTTATATTTTTCTTCACTTATAAGAAATTCCATCCTATTATTTCTTCAGATTTTACTTCCCTTCTATTTTCTTTATTAGCTATTAGCTAGAAGTTATGACTTAACAGAACTCTCTTCCATGTCTTTTAAGTTTTCAACTTTTTTTATCACCTTGTGCTACATTCCTACGTTCTGTCTTCTATATATCAAATTCCCTTTTCAGCTGTTCTCATTTTTCTATTTGCATCTACTGAATTTTTTATTTTAATAATTACATTTTTTAAAATTTCCAGGGTTTGACTTTGGTTTGTTTTATCACAGATAGCTCCTTATTCGTTATTTTGATGCCATACTATATTTGAAGACACTAATTAAGCTTCTTAAGAAAAGTCCTTTTCTTATCATCTATTAAATTTTTCAAAGTTGTAATTCTGTTGGGCTGTTATATATATTTTTTTATGGAGGCTGCATGCTAAATATTGTTGATTCTTGACTGTAGGCTCATCTTGGTGATTTGAATTCCCCGCTAGACTCCTTATGCTTTCACTCCCACAGCCAGCCTTAGGGGAGGTATAGAAACAGCTTTTGAGGTTTGTGCTCCTCACTGTTTTCAGTGAGAATGAGGGAAAGTTGAGATGGGTATTGCTGACCCTGCCCCTCATTCTTAGGCTGGCTCCTATGCAGAGACAGACTTGAACTGGTAGAGAGGTAAAGAGTGGGATGTACATGGCATGACCAGAGTGGATGCCTCAACTCATTTTCTTATGATTTGCCTTAGCTTCCACCTCCTGTCTAGTCCTACCTTCTACCATGTCTAAGCATGGGCACCCTTGGTGATGCTCCCGTCTTCTGTGGCAGGACTTTCTAAAAGTTTCCAGTACAAACTCCAGACTACAATTACTCTCTGCAAACAGCCTGTGTACTTTTAGACTTTCTGGGATTTCTCATCATTTTGATTAGCCAAAAATCTCTTTGAATTTAGAAAACAAGCTATACATTCATATACTTAAAAAATAACTTAAGGCTTAGAGTGGAAGGACAGAAGCTGAGAAAGGAGAGGATATCATCGTGCAATTAGTGTTCCATCTTGAAAGTGAAAGCCTCCATTTATATTTTGTGTTGTTTCCCTTTTGTATTGATATTAGGGATACTAAGCAATTGTCACCTACTTTGCAAATACTTGTTACATGTGCCTTTAAATTTCATTTCAGGTATCTTCAGAGACACAGATGTTTTACATTTTAATGAGGACAAATCTGTTCATTTTTCACTTTAAGATTTCTGGTTGTTGTGTCATGCTCATGAGGCCTTTTTACTCCACAATTTTAAAAGTTTCCTGTATTACCTTCTGAAATTTCATGGTTCACTCTTTCATATTTAGATATTTCATGTTCAGATATAGATCTATGAGGACTTTAGTTTTCGGTTTGAGGTGAGGTTTCGTGTGTTTTCCATTCTCCCTTTTCTATATAGGAGTTTTTATTGCAGCTGTTCTACTGCTCCACTAATTTGTTTTGGGTGGGTAGATGTAGAAGAGCATTTAACATGTTTACTTGATAGTTCATCAAATCATAACAAACCACATCCATATTTGATGTACGGGAATGTGCAGCCCTGAGTTCTTGACTTTTGAGATGAGTTCAGTAACTGCCTGGGGTTTGGGGTCATCTCCCTTTGGGGAAAGATGAGTGTGAAGAAGAGTATGTGAAGATATATAGTAGCCAGAGAAGCTGACTGTGGCAGAGAGCACAAAGTGTCCACCAAAACAATCTTCCAGTTCTCCCTTCGGGCACACAGCTAGAGTCCATCTCCCTGTCTCCTTCAGTTAGGTAGAGCCAGGCGACTAAGTTCTTTTTGGTGCAGTGTCAACAGCCATGCTTGCCACGCCCATAGAAGCCTTCGTATGTACTTCATCCTTTTTGAAGGCTGGATGTAGTTGAAAAGTTTCTAAGAGACGGGGCCAGGAGATGCCAGGGTTCTTAAAGACATGAAAGACTGCATGGGGGACTTGAAAGTTGCCTGCTGAATGTTTTGCCTTGAACTTACACTCAAGTGAGAAATAAGCTTCTGAAAGTATCAGTTTGCTTTAGTTTTTTTTTTTTTTTTTTTTTTTTTTGAGATAGAATCTCGCTCTGTCTCCCAGGCTGGAGTGCAGTGGTGCGATCTGGGCTCACTGCAAGCTCCGCCTCCAGGGTTCACGCCATTCTCCTGCCTCAGCCTCCCGAGGAGCGGGGACTACAGGCGCCCGCCACCAAGCGCGGCTAACTTTTTGTATTTTTGGTATAGACGGGGTTTCACCGTGTTAGCCAGGATAGTCTCGATCTCCTGACCTCGTGATCCGCCCGCCTCGGCCTCCCAAAGTGGTGGGATTACAGGCGTCAGCCACCGCGCCCGGCCCGAGATATGCTTTTTGAGTTAAGAAGATTCCTTTTATTTCTAACTTACCCAGTGGCTTTGTTGTTGTTTTAATCAGAAATGAGTGTTAAATTTTATTGAAGATTTTCACACCTGTTAACTATATCATATAGCTGTTCCCCTTAAATCTTCCTATGTAATAAATTCCAATTATTACATTAATAGAGTCCTTAAAGTAGAACTATATTTAAATATGACCGTAAGATGGTATTCTTTTAATGCAATGCTGGACTTCATTTTGTTTATAATTTTTGTGTATGTTCAAGTGTTTCATTGATTTATAGTTTTCTTTTTTATCCTATCTTTGTCCAGTTTTGTCACTGAGTTTATGCTAGATGCAAACTGAGAAGTTTATCAGCTTTTTCTTTAATCTTTAACAATTTATATATCATGAGTTATCAGGGCCTCATGCCCTTTGAAGGACATGTATATATATATATATATATTTACTATGGTTCTAATTTCCTCTAGTGTTATGGATCTATTCATTCTTTTCATTAAAATTTGTAATATTTGTTATGTCCCCTCTTCTAATTTAATTTTTGTTAAATTTTATTAAATTTTCAGTGGTTATATCAGTTTTTAAATTCCTGCCATGCACTGCTCTTATTGATTACAGTTTCTGAGGGCTCATGTATTGTCAAAGAATGTGAGTTTTGATTTCACAATTTTACCATTTTCTAACTTATTTATTTTTGCTTTTATTTTTATTTCTTTCTTCTGCTTTCCTTGATTTTATTTTGTTTTTCCCTTTCTAATACTTCGAGGGTTGTTAATTTTTTTGTTTAATTAGAAGGCATTTGGGGCTATAAAGTTTTCTATATTTCACAAGTTTTGATTAATAATATCTTGTTCTAATGTTTCCTAAGTAGTCCGTTAATTCATAAAATTCTTCATCAAATGGCTTGTACAATAAGAAACTAAAATAGCATGCTTCATGTCAGTCTCTTACAAGTAGAATATCTTTCCATTTCTCCATGGATTTTTGAAGTATTCCAGGCTATATTTTACTTTCAGTAACTCATATCAGGTGAAAGAGGAAGGAACTGAGCCAACACCACATTCCTCTGGAGTATGTTTGGTATTCTTCAGGTACAATTTTACTCATGAAAGTCTTTTTTAGAATTATAGTCTTACTGCAAACAAAAAGGAACCTGAATCTTTATAGGTGATCTATTTCTTTTTCATTACTAATTGGGAAAATGTACATACTTAACTATGTGTTTATCAATATTAAAACTTTTGAATTCTAAAATTACCAAAAATATGAGAGCTTTAAGTAATAAAAATTGGTACATTTCATCTTTAAATATTTTAATTGCCTTATGTATGAAATAAAGTATCATATTAATTTGACATGGCAATTTCTATTTCATTGTCTTTATTTATTTATAGTGCTGTATAGAAACTTAATATGACCACAGAAAGCCTTTCTATTATCTGCCATAGGGATTTAAAGATATTTTCTTTTGTCTTCTCCAATCATCTCATTTATTAAAACTAAAGTTTCATGTTTTTAGTAGAGTCCTTGAAGTAGAAATATATTTAAATAAGACCATGAAATGGTATCCTTTTAATGCAATGCTGGACTTTGCTTATAATTTTTGTAAGTGTATTAAAATGTTTTATTGGTTTATAGTTTTCTTTTACATCTTATTTTTGTCCAATTTTTGCATTGTGTTTATGCTAGATGCAAACTAGGAAGTTTTCAGCTTTTTCTTTGGTCTTTAACAATTTATATATCATGATTTATTGGGGCCTGGTGCCTTTTTGAGGGATGTATTTTTACTATGGTTCTAATTTCCTCTAATGAATTCATTCCTAAGGAGCCTATTAAATTTTCTCTCTGCTCTACATCACTGCACCAGCAACAATAATTATTAGCTTTGTGAACTTTGGCAAATATCTTAACCTCTCTGTGCTTCAATTTCTTCAAATGTAAAGTAGGGATAACCGCAGTTTCTATCTCACAGGATCTTTCCAAAGTTAAGAGTCTATAACATAAAGTATTTACAATAGTCCTGGGGATAATGTTAGTGCTATATACATTAGCGCTATTATAATATTTTTATCATAATATAGAAGTAATCATAGCTGCCTCCATTGAAAACCTTATGGCTATTTTTTTTCTCATTATTAAATTGTCCTTTATGTGTGAAGGACATTATATAAATTGTCATCATCTTGTCCCAAACCCAGTGATGTGGGTGTTATTACTCTCCATATGAGAAGCTAAGAGATGTGAAACAACTGTCAAATTCACAAGGTAGCAAGTGATAGAAGTGACATTTGAATCCACATTTGTCTGTCACATAAGTCTGTGCTCTTCTCATTATATTACCCAGCCTGATGTCACCCTGTCTACAAAAACCTACTTTCATAACCTCTTTCTGCCATCAGCAAAGCAGAGGTTCATCTTTTTTGGCACACTGAAAAGACTGTGCTTAGAGCAGCAACGTTGTACCACTGTGCCGCAGGATTGAACTGCAGGTCTTTAGTGACATTAATGATTTACTGTTGCTTATCTCAGCTTACCCCAGGTAATTTGTCAATCAATACCTGGCCTTTGGATTTTCTCTATGTCATTTCTCCCTGTTCCCAATTTTAAACATGTATTTAAGATTGTCTAGCTAGAATTTCTCTAGCTCTCTGGGCAGTCCCTTGGCATGAAGGGGTTATGCAATATAAAATGCTCATGAATCAATATTTCACAGGATCCCTGGAGTTCAAGTTGGTACTGGAGGAAAATGGCGATTTTCCAGGGTGAAGCCCAAAGTACTAGTTGCTAGAAAAATGCTTCTGAGGCCTGAAAATAATCAAGGATTTTTGTTGTTGTTTTTGTTTTATTTTTTGTGCCTATCAAAGACCTGTGTATAACCCAGGTCTGCATGTCCATGAAGCAAGCCTTCTTTTTTCACTCCAATCCAGCATGCTCACTACCCCACCTTTCCCCTCTTACAGCAGCCTTGAATCACAAAGTAGTTGTCTATCAGTCTTGATTGTTTTATGTATTTATCCAGTATCCCTAACAAAATGGTAACTCCTGTATCTTTTCTTTTGTATTGGTATCCCGCAGTCCTCTGCCAAGAAAGGACTATGCAGTGACCATTGCTTCCTTTTAAAATTGTGGCAAAATATACATAACATAAAATTTACCCTTTAACTATTTTAAACTATCTAGTTAAGTGGCATTAAGTACATTTACATTATTGTACAGCTACCACCCATCTCTAGAACTTTTCATCCAAACTGAAACTCTCTACTCATTAAACAATTTCTCCCCAGCCCCTGGGAAAACCACCATTCTACTTTCTGTCTCTATGAGTTCAACTACTCTAGGTACCTTATATAGGTGGAATCACACAATCTTTGTCCTTTTGTGTCTGACTTATTTCACTTAGCATAATGTCCTCAAGGTTCATCCATGTTTTAACGTATGTCAGAACTTCATTATTTTTATAGGCTGAAGAATATTCCATTGTGTGTGTGTGTGTGTGTGTGTGTGTGTAAGTGTATATGACTTTTTGCTTATCTGTTTAGTCATTAATGGATATTTGGATCATTTCCACCTGTTGGCTATTGTGAATAATGTTGCTATGAGCACTGGTGTACAAATATCTGTTTGAGTCACCTCTTATTGGGTGTATATCCAGGAGTGGAATCACTGGCGATGTTTAATAACTTTGAGGAACTGCAATACTGCTTTCATAGCTGCTGTCCCATTTTACATTCCCACCAGCAATGCCCGAGTTCCAGTTTCTCCACACTTTCTCAACAATTGTTATTTCACCATGATTCTTCTGACTTAATCCTCATGACAAATTGATAATTATTACTATACCTAGTATTGGTATTGTGCTTCACAATTGACCATTTTGCATATATTATGCTTTTGAATATTTATAATAATCTTTGGTTTAAGTATTACAGCTACATTACAAAAGAATACATTGATATTTAGAGATGCTACATCACTTGTCCAAGAGCACAGAGCTAGTAGGTGGAAAAGTCAAAACCATAACTTTACCAGATTTCCTTTATTATTTGAGAATTAAACAATTCATGTTTTTGAGATTCTCCCTCGAATGTTTCACTCACTCTGCATTATAATAAGGGCAGTTCACGCATTGAGAAAGATTCCTGAAAAGGAGACCTGCTGCTGTCCCATGTCTCCCAAGGTATCAAAGAAAATAAATGACTTAAATAAGTAACAGGAAGGGTTTAGGTTAGATATTAATTGGGTGGTTGGTGTTGGTCAGACATTGGAAAGGATTACCAAAGGACTTTTTGAAATAATGCAAGTCCTGAAGAACGCCATAGAGTTCATCCTAGTACATGTCTGAAGGCAAGGAAGTAATTCAGTGCAACCTTGTTAGTTATTTGAAAGTAGGGGATAAACTGGATGACTTCACATCATTTCTTCAAGTTACCTGATTCTATAACACAGATTCTACCAAATGGCTTTGTACTAGTGAGGTAAATTGTTTTTTGGGGTTAGGGGATGAAGCTTGTTTTCTCAACTCCTTCATCATCGATCTCTGGAGAATGCAGTCCCCAACTCTCAATTCCATTTCATACCCTCAGAGTTCACGAGGTCTTCAGGGGAGGGGACAGAGATGACCTAATTCACCTGGGGGTTCTGAGTTAACCTCACCAGTTAACTTTCTTAAATATTGTTGAGTTGTTTTTCTTCTGCTCTTCTGGGAGATTTGAAGGATTTGCAATTTTGGCCTGAAATTAAATGGGATAATTTCTTTTATTTTTTTTATTTTTTTTGAGATGGAGTCTCACTCTGTCGCCCAGGCTGGAGTGCAGTGGTGCAATCTCAGCTCACCGCAACCTCCACCTCCCGGGTTCAAGCGATTATCCTGCCTCAGCCTCCTGAGTAGCTGGGATTACAGGCGGCGTGCCACCACACCTGGCTAATTTTTGTATTTTTAGTAGAGACGGGGTTTCATCACGTTGGTCAGGCTGGTCTTGAACTCCTGACCTCGTGATCCACCCCCCCCCCCCCCTCCGGCCTCCCAAGGTGCTGGGATTACAAGCGTGAGCCACTGTGCCAGCCTAAACGGGACAATTTCAATGTCCAAATGTTACATGTTGTCAGTGGTGGGTCATAAAGTGGGGACAAGGGAGTTGACTTAACACAAAAAGGGTAGAAGGAAGATATCTGGTGAAGAAATAAAATTCTCTGGGTATTTATGTAGATGCTGCCACCAATGAGCTATCTGCCTTAGAGCAATCTGTAGGGAAATTAGATATCCATGTGACTCTATTCATGCTGGGCAGTCCCTCCTCTCTCCTTCAGAACTGTAATTGTACACCATTCAGTGACCTTGAATGCAAGACCAATTCTGCTGTCTAGAGCTGTTCAATATCCATGCATGTCACTTTCCTCACGACTCAAAAGAAGGAATTAGAGCTTTCCACCTCACAGTTGTTAGAGATTAAAATAACAAAACTTTTTGAAAATTAGTGTGCATTCCAAGCACTCTAAAGACCTTGTCAGGAGAATGTTGAAATTAAGACAAAACTATTCTAGAAATCATTTAAGAAATTGCTAGCTGAGAAACGAAGGCAGTAAACAAAAGTGGCAATCAGTTCATAAGTGATGTGCATCTGAAACTCAAAAAGATAAAAATAAGAAGCAAATTGTTGAAAACACAAAAAAGCAAAAGTATTGCCTCTCACCCACATCTGCTTTATTTTGTTCTCCTTTCTTTGAAGTCCCCTTGTCATAGGCCCTAGCCTCTTACACAGTAAATGACAAGTGAAGAACTGGATTTTGTGGGGCAATCACTGAAGGACTGAAGCGTCACTTTAGTAAATATCCCAGCTTTTCCAACAGGTCAGCAGTGGTGACCTGGAGTAGTGATCACACTGTTCCTGCCTGATGCAGGACATTTAGTCTTTAGAATGATGGAGCACAGAATGCAGAGCTGGGGAGACTACTCAGAGATAATCCCGTCCAACCCGTCATTGTACAGATGATGAAACTGAAGCCAGCAGAGTGCTATTTTTTTTTTCTTTTAAATTTCAGAATTGAAAATTAAGAATGCCATGTAAAGCAAGGTGAAAAAGGCAGGGGTGTACACATCAATCCCAGATCCAGGGAGCCAACATCTTTAAGTAGACTTCTTCAGATGGCCTGTGGGGTACCACAGAGCTTACAGAACAACTTAAGATCACTCCAAACCAGGTAACATTTCAATAAATACATGGATTTAAGGCCAATAGAAGCTGGCTTAGCACCTTGCTGATCCTCATTCTTACCAGAACTCCCGTCTAACCCCAGGTAACTTCACAAGTTGTTAGAAACCATCCTTCAAAGATCTGCCTCTTTCCTTCTGCGTGGCAGCTGGAGACTCCTGCTTGGTCCTAATCAGTGCAGGATCAACAACAGAAATCCGCAAATGTCAGTCATTTTTCTGTTTTCACTACCCAGTTGTTTTCTCTTGAGTTTAACTGCCTGAATTTTAGTGTCTGTGATAAGCACTCAGGGGTAATATCATACACCTCTGGAAGCCCTCTACTGATTGTGGGCTATGATCTGCAAGTGATGAAAGCAGGATTTGGCCAATTAGGAGTACAAGAATTTCTTGGCACTGCCAGAGCTTCACAGAAGATGTGTGCTGTGCACATTCCCATGGAGCTGGCTTGATTTCACAATCTTTCACAGCCTATTGTAATATACCACCCATCTCAAACAAGGTCCCTGTCCAAGTGTGCTTTAATGTTTTATGAAATCAGCTGCAAATGTCAGGATTTAAAAATCCAAAGTTGAAACCCACATTTTATTCTTTTTTATTCTGTAAGATTTAGCATGTCAATTACATCTTTAATCATAAAAGAGCATGACAAACAAAATGTGTTGTGATGGGAGTATGAAAATTTTTTTCTAATACTTTTATATTAGTATTTTATATTTTATATTTATATTAAATGCCCTATGATGAAAGTATATTTGTGAACCAAAAAATATGTATGTATATTAAAGAATCTTGCCAAATATAGTGGGAATTTTTGGGGCTTTGTGATGTTGATGTTGGATCTTCGTCACTCACTCAGCTCAACAATGAAATAAAGCACCAGGGTGTTGGTTGGCTACTTCGATGTTTTATGCGTCTATGAAAAGTCTAAACTTATCATCATTAAAAGTGGACTTGTGGAGTCTGGGGGATGATTTTGATACTAGTTTTATTGTTCAAAACCCCAGAGTTGGAGCTAGAACTCTCAGAGAAGCTTCTCCTTGAGAAGGTAAAAGGGAAGGCAGGGTGCTCTTCCAGTGCAGGTGGGGTGGCCTCAACACTCCCAGGCTTTCTGCTTCTTCAGTGTTTTCCTCAGCGTGACTAACGAAAATGCTCTTTGTTCTTTATTCCAGAGTCAAAGACATCCCTGCCACGCAGCACATAGATTTATAACTCTGGTCAAAGGTTTCGACAAATACAGATTTCTTCAATCCGAAGTCCATCTGTGTGTGTTCCCAGAAATAAAGAACAGTGCATGTCTATCTCCCTCTCTCTAATCCGTAGAGGTAGCAAGGGCAGGAGAATTGAATTCCCAAAAGGACTTCTTATAGCTCTGGTGACAATTACCATCTCAAACAGGCTGGTGCTACCTTGGGGACACATGTGGACTTTATTTTTTGCTCTCTTTTTTCAAACTGAGGTAGTGTCAGCACTGACACAGACAGTCCAGAGAAAAGAAACTGTGTCTGCTGTCATGTTTATTTAGTTGGTATAAGTGGAAAGATCATAACCTGAAGTTTTGATGAAAACACACTTCTTGCTCAGATAATCCATTATGTCATTGATTAGTTCTGCTAAGAGAAAGCGAATGGGTTAAAGAAACAAAAAAGACAACAAGATGTGGGATTAGGTCTGGGGATGTGGAGCATGTAGGGAACATCATAAAATTTCTGATTTCATATCTGGGACCTGGGTACATGATCTGAGACATAAATTTGAATGTTCAACAGCCAAATTATCCTGCCCCCTAGACATAACCTCCCATGATGCAAAGCAACAGGGAAGGTGCATGAATTCTTTCAGGCTCTATGAATGTCCCTGAGCAATCTGTTTCTTTAGCATCTTACATAAACATGGCTGGAATGACAAAAGCTCACCAGGGTGCCTATGGGGAAGGGGTGCAGTTCCAATGCCTGAAGTCTCTGTGACAACACCAAGGGAAAAACATTGGAATGGAAGCCAATATAATGATATTGAACCCGCTCAAGTGAGCAGTTTTGTGGAAGGCATCCATTTTGGAGCTGAGCTCAAATACTACTGGAGCTCAGTATTGTAGAACAGCCTGATTCACCACCAGGTCTGCAGTAGAGTCCAGGTATGGCATTACCCTTTGATTTACCTAATCTGGGAAGAAGCCAATTGGCCTATGGAACACCTGAAAGTAAAACACTGCCCACCAGAGATGAGAAACTTTGCCTGCCTATAAACTCTGATAAGATGCCCTTGATAACTGAAAACCACAGGAATGCCAACAATAAGTCTCAGTTATTGAGAAGTTTGCTGTCCAGTGGGAAAGGCAGGTAATAACAATCCTCAAAAATAATACATTAAGTGCTATACTAAGGGTATATCCAGGGTGCTGTCAGAATGCAGAAGAGGCAGTACCTAATCCAGCCTGACAGTGAGGGTCAGGGAAGGCTGCCACTATATCTAGATTTAAGAAATTCAGAGCACAGTTGACATAGCTTGTCTTAAGGATGACACTTGGCCTTCTAAATAAATCAAACTTTTCCCAGAACCATTTCAAAGGACTTAGCTCTGTGTATCCATCTGCATTCCCAGTGAATGGAAGAAAGGTCAGAAATGAGTTAATGCTCATACACTGGCCTGTGCCACTGTTTTAAATCTATTGTCACTGCTTTGTCTGCTGAATTAGTATTCCTCCCTACCTGATTTTCTTTAACAAGCCAGTTCTTTGTGTCTTCCAATATCCTTCTCTTCATATAATTTCAAAACAGATCTCCGTCTAACCACTTAAATTGTTTAGCTTCATGTGACATGTCTTCTGGAGGCTAACAGCATAATTGCTTTAGATAATTTTTTTTTGTTTACATTATGTAAGATTTTACTTCACTTGACATTTGCTATTTTCCCTTCCCTACCTTCTGTATACTTCAAGGAATTCTGAACTGTCAGTGCTCACACAGCATAAGCCTGGCACTTATTTTCAGTATGATATGTCACTTCATAACAAAAAACCTAGAAACATATTCATTTCCTGTAAAATTATCTGAGTTGAGTGAGTTTAAAGTTGGAGAATGGGCTCTACCTGGGGCTACAGAGAGAGCTCAAGCCCCTAAAAGTGAATGTCATCCTCTCATGCCCTGATGAAGCTGTTTATTTTCCATGACGTAGCACTTTCCATCCAGGACAAGGTCTGACCAGCCTGGCTCACGACAAAATTAGACTGGATATTGGCATCCTCTTATCTTTTTGTCTTTTCTCATTGGTATTGTTCACGTGTCCATTATTCCTCTGGTCTGGAGAGGCTGAAAGAACTCAGGAATTACAAGGATGGACCTTTCAGTTGCAGGCTGTGGACCTATAGTAGGTCCTTTAGAGTGGGATGATTTGTTGTTGAGTAAGGGCCTTGCTCAAGCATTGTCAGCCCAAGCTTGGACACAATGCAGGGTCACTTCGGTTCTCCTGGAAATGAGAATAGTGGTAGCCAGTGGAGAGACTATTTTTGGAATAACATTTCCAAAGGCCATTTCCACTTCAAAAATAAATATTATGCACGAACTGGTATGATTATGTAGATTTTCATGTTGGATCTGTTAATATGATAGATTATACTGACAGATTTTTAAACTGCTTTATTGAGATATAATCCACGTACCCTACAATTCACACAATTAAAGGATACAATTCAGTGGTTTTTAGTACAATCACAGAGTTGTGCAACTGTCACCACAACTTAATTTTAGAACATTTTCATCACCTTCAAAAGAAATGCCATACCCAATAGCCATTACCACCACATCTCCCATTTACGCAAGCCCTAGGCAATCAATAATCTACTTTCTGTCTCTATAGATTTTTCCTCATTCTGGACATTTCACATAAATGGAATTATATAGTATGTAGTGGCTTGTTACTGGCTTCTTTCACTCAGCATACCGTTTTTAAGGTTTGTCTGTGTTGTAGCATGTAAGAGAGGTAGTTCACTGTTTTTTATTGCCAAAAAATTTCCATTGTATAGATATATCACATTTTGTTTATCCATTCATCAGTTGATGGGCATTTGGGTTATTTCCTCTTTTTGGCTATTATGAACATTGATGTACAAGTGTTTTTGTGAACATATATTTTTATGTGTCTTGAATCTATACCTAGGAGTGAAATTGCGGGTCATATGGTAATTGTATATTTAACCAGTTAAGAATTGAGAGAAAACAGGCAACAGTGAGAACTTTTCAGAAGAAAATGTTAAGGACAGTAAAAGGAGATCGTGTTTGGGACTGAAAGGGGCTAACCCTAGCCAGTCTGCATAATCTGGATATCAATGGTGGTAACAAAAAACATTTCCTAGGTAGCCCTTAGAAAACAAAACTGCAAGTAAACTTTCTTTTAGTTATAATGTCCTAAGATATTTTTCTTATCCATACAGGGGGTTAGGTAGAT
Source organism: Homo sapiens (assembly GCF_000001405.40). Lineage (NCBI taxonomy): Eukaryota > Metazoa > Chordata > Mammalia > Primates > Hominidae > Homo > Homo sapiens. The sequence continues at coordinate 21,100,733 of NC_000002.12, forward strand.
TTTCTATTCTTGTAAATTATTTGTACATGGCAGGTCTCAGAAGCACTTAGGAGGAAATTGTATCAATTTCATTGCCTACAGTCATATCTGAATCTTGTAAAGCTGTGCTGTCCAACATTATGGCCACCAATCATGTGCTGCTTTTAAAATTAAAATAAAATAAAATTTAAAATTCAATTCCAAATCACACTAGCCATACTTCTTTTTTTCTTACTTTTTTTTTCTTTTTTTTTTTGTTTTTTTGAGAGACGGTCTCACTCTGTCATTCAGGCTGGAGTGCAGTGGTGTGATCATGGCTCACTGCAGCCTTGACCTTCAAGTCTCAAGCAATCCTCTGGCCTCAGCCTCCCTAGTAGCTGGGACTACAGGCACACACCACCACGCCCAGAAAAGTGAAAAAAAAATTTTTTTTTGTGACATGGGTTCTCACTACTTTTCCCAGGCTAAACTTGAACCCCTGGATTTAAACAATTCTTCTGTCTTGGCCTTCCAAAGCCTTGGGATTATAGGTGTGAGCCACCATGCCCAGCATTAGCCACATTTCAAGGGCTCAATCACCAGATTTTGTTTATGGCTTTGGTATCAGACAGTACAGACAGAGACTGCTCCCCTTATTGCAGCAAGTTCTATCAGACAGTGTTGTGCTATAGCATGAAAGCAGAGGTTCTCAACTGGTGGTGATTTTTACCTCCCAAAAGAATCTGGCCATGTCTTGAGACATTTTGATTTTTATAACCTAGTATGTCCGGAATTGGTGGGTTCTTGGTCTCGCTGACTTCAAGAGTGAAGCCGCGGAGCCTCGCGGTGAGTGTTACAGTTCTTAAAGGCGGCGTGTCCGGAGTTTGTTCCTTCTGATGTTCAGATGTGTCCAGAGTTTCTTCCTTCCGGTGGGTTCGTGGTCTCACTGACTTCAGGAGTGAAGCTGCAGACCTTCGCGGTGAGTGTTACAGCTCTTAAAAGCGGCGCGTCTGGAGTTGTTCTTTCCTTCCGGTGGGTTCGTGGTCTCACTGGCCTCAGGAGTGAAGCTGCAGACCTTCATGGTGAGTGTTAACAGTTCATAAAGTTGGCGCGTCCGGAGTTGTTCGTTCTTCCCGTCGGGAGTTGTTTGTCCCTCTCTGTGGGTTTGTGGTCTCGCTGGCTTCAGGAGTGAAGCTGCAGACCTTTGCGGTGAGTGTTACAGTTCATAAAGTTGGCGCGTCCGGAGTTGTTCGTTCCTCCCGTTGGGAGTTGTTTGTCCCTCTCTGTGGGTTTGTGGTCTCACTGGCTTCAGGAGTGAAGCTGCAGACCTTCACAGTGAGTGTTACAGCTCATAAAGGCGGCGCGGACCCAAAGGCGAGTAACAGCAAGATGGCTGCCACGGGACCTAGAAAGGGGAGAAGCCATGTTGCCCAACTCCAGAGGTTGGTATAAGAGTTTGAAAGGTATTGTCTGATTTCAGAAGCCTTTTCCTGTAAATGCCAGGTGGCATCTCATACTATCCCTGACTGGTTAGTGTAAAAACGACTTCCCCTAAGAAGGTGCAGAGTCCTCCTTTCTCAGCAGTGAAGAGGTCTAGGCCTTGGTGGTTCTAGGGGAGGGAGGTAACCACTGGGCGGAGGCCAGAGATGTTCCTAAACATTCTGCGAGGCACAGGGCAGCCTCCACCATGATTAGCCATCCAAATCGTCAATAGTGCTGAGATGGGAGAGTTCCCTTGACACCTTTGTAGAACTTGCGACAGGTGTGTGGCTCGTTTACTCCTCCGCCACGCTCAAACCCCTTGCTGGAGGGGGAGCACAAATGTGAGCAGGTGCAGGAGCTGGGGTGAGTGCCTTTGGGTGTCCGCAGGAATGAACCGTGTACTGGCCCGCGGCAGCATCCTCTAAAACCCCGGAGGGGATGTACTACAAACAATGGTCTTTTAGCTTTGCCATCCACGGATGGCTTAAGTGTTAAAACAGCTCAGTGAAGTGTCAGTCTTTTTGGATTCCCACACCCGGTGTATCCCAAATTCTTGTCTGGTGTCCAAGAAGTATCAGGTCACATGAGCAGATTGAAGGGTGGTATATGCACAGGATTTCATTGAGCAATGGGAGTTGCTCTCAGTGTCATGGGGAGCTGGAAATGGGATAGAGTGGAAATATAATCTTCCCCTGGAGTTCAGCATGGGATGGCCAAACTCCTCTCCAACCATAGTCTCTGACGTGCAGACGTTCAGACGCTTCTCTTCTCTCCTCTGCTGCACTGCTCTGCTCCTCTGCCAATGGAGCTTGGGCTTTTTATGGGTACAGGGTTGGGGGTGTGGTGGGCCAGGGTGGTTTTTGAAAAGGCAGAATTCAGGCGTGAAAACAGGGAGTGAAGTTCTCGTTTGGGGCTGCAGGCCCAGGTTTGAGGGCGGAACACTTGCTAGGGACCCCACCCTTTTCTACCTAGTATTTCCCTGCCTCCTGTTTGTATCAGTGCCAAGGTTGAGAAACCCTCTTCTAAAGCAATGATGTCTACATTGAGCCTGATTTTTATCAAAAAATCTAAAGAATCACCTGGCCAGCTTTTAAAAATCCATATGCTTGAGCCCTACCCCGAAGATTTTGATTAAGAAAGAAGAGGATCTCAGGACTTGTGTTGTTCAAAAGCTTTCCAGGTGATTCTTAGGATTGGCCAGATTCAAGAACTATTGTATTAAAGTACACTGAATCTCAACTTTCAGTTTAGAAGAAAACCACCTGGTAAGCATTAGCAGTACTCTCAGAATAGGTTAATGACTCTAAGGCCATTACCTCTTCTGTTTAATTTCTCCAATTACCTCTTTCTCAATTAATGGGGTCATTAAGCACTTAAGACTTGCATTAATTTCCCTCCTCTCTTTTGTAATTCTTTCATTCTGCATAAATCTAGTTTGCAAATGATTACAGCTTGTTAAATATTGTACACTTTCTGTTTACAAACAGAACAAATGACCTAGAAAATGTTTGGCAGCTGTCTTTGTTCATTAGGGTTTAACAGGAAATAGCTGAGTAAACAAGCAGTCTAGCCCTGTAGGTGGCATGGCATGACATATTATAGTCCATTTCTTTGCTACTAAATAACTTAATTCATGCAAGTGAAATTCACTTTAAATGATTTGAAGTTGCTTACTTTAAGGTCAATATAATTCCACTGAACTTAGAAAAGTTTAAATGAATTAATTTTAGGTTTAAGATATTCGTCTGCTTTCCACTTTCCATCATTCTGTAATAAATTACACAAAGGAAATACTCCCTGCTCTCAAGAAACTTGAAAGGTAATACGATGTAGTTGTGGAAATGATGCATAAATACAAGTAACTACAAGAAACATGTCAAACATTCTAAGAAGAGTTATACATTTGAGAGGAAGAGATCTTTTCAGATGAAGATCTAGGAAATTGTTATGGAAGTAGCAGCATCTTACCTCCCCCTACACCCATTCAAAAAATGTTTGCTAGTGCCTACTCCATGCGAGGTCCACTGTATTAGGAGCTAGGGATAAACAGACACAATCCCTCTACTCATGGAACTTACTTTCCTAGAGAGTAGTTAGCCAGTTAATTATTTATTGTGTGCCTACTGTGTGCCAAGCATACAGACAGACAGGCAATTATGATTCAAAGTGATAAGTGCTAAGATACAGGAAGGACATGATAAAATTAATTCTTGGCTGGATTTTTATCACATTGATTCTTTTCTAAGCACAGACATTTCTCTGACCTTATTTGCAAGGACAGGATCATAGGGCATTCATTCACCCTTAGCAACAATTAATCATGATATGGACTTTGATATCTGCCATTTAGTGACATATTGAAATTATCTAGTGGATACTAGTGTTAACTCTGGCCTTCTTCAGGAATCTGTAAAGAATTATAACTAAGAATCTACCAATATAATTCTCAATTTGTTAATACTTCTGATAAAGTTTACTGATAAAACTAAAATGTATTGGCTCTTGTCTATAAATCCAGTACCTATGTCAATTGTGAGATTATTCACATATATGATCACTATACAGAAGTTTATAGTAATGGCTGGCTTTAGTCAACCCTCAAATTATTTCAAATTATGAAACATTTAAAATATACAAAAAGCACAGAAATTTAATATAACAGACACCTACTCACCATAATTCCTAAAAGATAATAATATTTTGCTTTTTTTTGCCTTCAGCTGTGTCTCTGTCTTTTTGCCAGTTTCTTCATAACACAAATGAAATAAAACAATAAAGATACAGCCAAAGTTCCCTTTTGTATCCCTGTCTCCTATTCCTTCAAGTTTTCTTCCTTCCAGAGGAAACCAGTATCTTGAAGTTGGTAAATTGGCATTCTAAATCTCCCATATTAAATTTTTTTCTATACATGTATGAGTATGCATGCATAAATAATATATACTATTGTTTGTTTAACATCTACGCAAATCAATACAATTGTGTGTATCCTTTTGCAACTTGTTATTTTATTTTAAAGCTATGTTTCCCTGATTTTTAGATACACATAGATTCAGTTCATTCATTTTAACCGCAGAACAGCAGGCCATCATATGACTGAGCCACATGACCCTACTGAGAGGGCTTTTCCTCTTTTGTGTTCATAGCATTCACTCAACCTTATCTGTAGTTCAGGTCTCTTTTCCTCATAATATTTTTTGTTTGTCTTTCCTTTTCTTGGTAAGTCTTGCTAGAGATTTGTCCACTTTATTAGTTTTATCAAAGATAAAACTTTCTTTTATTTTTCTATTTCATGAATTCCTGTTGTACTTTTCAATGTTTATTGCTTCCGTCTTTATTTTTTGTCAATTTTATGGAAATATAATTTATATACAATAAAATTCACCAATTTTAAGTGTATAATTCAATGACTTTTGGCAAATGTATACAGTAGTATGATCACCGATACCATCAAGATACAGAACATTTCTAGCAGCTCAGAAAGTTCGCTTATGCCTTTTTGCAGTTAATTCCCTCCTTTCTCTCCCTGAGCCCTGGCAACTACAAATCTGCTTTCTGTTATTATAGCTTTGCTTTTTCTGAGACTTCATATAAACATAAATGAACAGTATTTTGTCTTTTGTGTATGGTTGCTTCAATTAGGATAATGCTTTTGAGTTATATCCATGTTGTTACATGTATCTGTAGTTTGGGTTTTTTTTTTTTTTTAAGTGCTAAGTAGTATTCCATTGTCAAAGTTGACTATTCTGTTCCATGAATCTATTTGTCTCTACATAAATCACTATGTTGATTGTGTGGCTTTTGAGGATGTCTTGAAATATGGTAGGGCAAATCTGAACAATTTCGTTCTTTAAAAAAGGCCGATTGTAGCCGGGCGTGGTGGCTCATGCCTGTAATCCCAGCACTTTGGGAAGCCGAGGGGGATGGATCACGAGGTCAGAAGTTCTAAGACCAGCTTGGCCAAGATGGTGAAACCCTGTCTCTGCTAAAAACTACAAAAATTAGCTGGTGCAGTGGCAGGCACCTGTCATCCCAGCTACTCGGGAGTCGGAGGCAGAAGAATCGCTTGAACCCGGGCAGCCGAGGTTGCAGTGAGAGATCACGCCACTGCACTCCAGCCTGGGTGACAGAGTGAGACTCAGTCTCAAAAAAAAAAGAAAAAAAAAAGTGCCGATTGTGATTTTGATTGGGATTGTGTTAATTCTGCAGATCAATTTTGGGAGAACTGACATCTTAACAGCATTAAGCTATCAGATCCATAGCACTGACTATGTCATCATCTATTTAGGTCTTTAAACATTTCCCTTAGAAACATTTTATAATTTTCAGTGTACAGGTATTGTATATATTTTCTCTAAGTATTTCATTTTTTTTTCTTTCTTTCTTTTCTTGAGATGGAGTCTTGCTCTGTCACCCAGGTTGGAGTGCAGTGGCATGATCTCGGCTCACTGCAACCTCCTCTCCTCAGTTCAAGACATTCTCCTGCCTCAGCCTCCTGAGTAGCTGGGTGAGTGCCACCACGCCAGTTAATTTTTGTATTTTTAGCAGAGATAGGATTTCATCATGTTGGCCAGGCTGGTCTCAAACTCCTGACCACAAACGATCTGACCACCTTGGCCTCCCAAAGTGCTGGAATTACAGGCGTGAGGCACCACGCCTGGCCTGTATTTATGATGATATTATAGATAATTTTTAAAATTTGTGTTTCCAGTTGTTCAATGCTAACATGTATTGTTTGTCCAGTTGTTCGATGCTAACATGTAGAACTGATTTTTAAAATGTTGATTTTGTATCTTATTACCTGCTAAACTTGCTTAAAAATTCTAATAGTTCTGTGAATTCCTTAGGATTTTCTACATACAGGACCAAGTCATCTGTGAATAAAGGCAGCAGTACTTTTCCAATCTAGATGCATTTATTTGTTTTCCTTGATCTATTACACTGGTTAGAACCTTCAGTACAGTGATGAATAAAAGTGGTAAGAGTGAATATTTCTGCCTTGTTTTCTGATCTTATGAGGAAAACATTCAGGCTTTTAAGTGTGATATTAGCTATAGGAGTTTTTAAGTCAAGGTGAAATTCCCTTCTAGGTAGTTCCTAGGTAGTTTGGAGTTTACATCATGAAAGGAAGATGAAGACTGTCAAATGGAGTTTCTGCCTTTATTAAGATGATTATATAACTTTCCTGTTCTTATTTCCTAAATTGATGACATATATTGACAGATTTTTAAATGTTAAGCCAACCTGCATTCCTAAATGTCACATGACATTTTCTTTCTATATTTCTGGACTTGCTAATATTCTGTTAAGGAATTTTATGTTCATGTTTGTGAAGGGTACTGGTTTGTAAGTTTCCTTTCCTTTTACGGCTTTGCCTAGTTTTGGTATCAGGGTAAGGTTTGCCTCATAAAACAAGTTGTGAAGATCTTTCTTTTCTATTTTTTGAAAGATTTTGCAAAGGATTGGTATGATTTCTTACTTAAATGTTTGGTATCATCCACCAGTGCAAACATCCGGGCTTAGAATGTCCTTTGTCCTTCACTCATGTCAGGTGAATGAGTAAGGAACAAAGCCAACCCCACAGTATATAAGTATTCCTTTTTCTCCACAACCTTGCCAGTATCTGTTATTTTTTGACTTTTTAATAATAGCTATTCTGACTGATATGAGATGGTATCTCATTATGGTTTTGATTTGCATTTCTCTAATGATCAATGATGTTAAGCATTTTTCTCACGTGCTTGTTGGCCACATTGTTGTCTTTTTTTTTTTTTTTTGACGGTGTCTCGCTCTGTCGCCCAGGCTGGAGTGCAGTGGTGTGATCTCAGCTCACTGCAAGCTCTGCCTTCCAGTTTCATGCCATTCTCCTGCCTCAGCTGGGACTGCAGGTGCCCGCCACCACGCCTGGCTAATTTTTTGTATTTTTAGTAGAGGCGGGGTTTCACCGTGTTAGCCAGGATGGTTTCGATCTGACCTCGTGATCCGCCTGCCTTGGCCTCCCAAAGTGCTGGGATTACAGGCGTGAGTCACCGCGCCTGGTGGGCCACATGTATGTCTTCTTTTGACAAGCATCTGTTCATGTCCTTTGCCTACTTTTAATGGGGTTGCTTTTTTTTTTTAAATTTGTTTAAGTCCCTTGTAGATGCTAAATATTAGACCTTTGTTGGATGCATAGTTTGCAAAAATTTTCTCCCATTCTGTTGGTTGTCTGTTTACTCAGTTGATGGTTTCTTTGGCTGTGCAGAAGTTCTTTAGTTTAATTAGATCCTATTTGTCAATTTTTGCTTTTGTTGCAATTGCTTTTGGCATCTTTGTCATGAAATCTTTGCCCATGCCTATGTCCTGAATGGTATTGCCTAAGTTGTCTTGCAGGGTTTTTTCAATAAGCCAGATTTTGGGTTCTTTTATTTTTCACTATTGTTTCTTTTCTATTTTATTTATTTTTTGCTTTGATTTTTATTATTTTTCTTTATTCTTATCAATGTTTAATTTACTCTCAAAGTGTTTTAATGTAAAAGTTTATAACATTATTATGAGAGCACTTAATAATATAAATTTCCCTCAAAGCACTACTTTCTATATATTGCATGAATTTTTATACACTGCCTTTTAATTTCCATTTAGTTCAATATATTTTCTATTTCCCTTGTGATTTCTTCTTTTACCCTTAGTTATTTAGAAGTGTATGTTTAATTTTCAAATACTTTGAGTTTCTCTAGATATCTGTTTGTTACTGATTTCTAATTTAACTATTGTGTTCATAGCACATACTTTGTATGACTTGAATTCTTTTACATCTATATGGACTGGTTTTATGGTTAAGAATATGATTTATTTTGGCACATGTTTTGTGTGCAATTATAAAGATTGTTAGGTGGGATTTTTATTAAATGTCGATTTCAAGTTAATTGAAAATATTGGTCAAGTCTTTATACCTTTACTGATTTTCTTTTTACTTGGTCTACATTTAAAATCTTTAACTATAATTGTGAAATTTTCCATTTCTCTTTTCAGTTTTAACACTTTTTTGCTTCAGATGTTTAGGATCTGTTATTATTTGCATATACATAGAAGACTATTATGTCTTCTTAATGAATGAAACTTATATCATTATATATTTACATTGTTTCACTCTGGTAATATTCCTTGCACTGAAATCTGGTTCATTTGATATTACTATGACCACTGAAAGTTTCTTTGGATTGTATGGGCATGGAATTTATTTTTCTCTCATTTTATTTCTAACCTGTCTATGTATTTATATTTAAAGTGGGTTTCTTTTGGACAACATACAATAGATTCTTGCTTTTTAATCCAATCTGACAAACTGTGTCTTTAACTGGACTATTTATACCACTTATATTTAATGTGATTAATATTATTAATATGGTTAGGTTTTTATCTACCATCTGCTATTTGTTTCTTATGTTCTACATCTTTTCCCTCTTCCCCATTTTCTTGCCTTCTTTTGGTTAAGCTGATTTTTTTTATAATTTCATTTTTATCTCCAGTCTTGGATATATATTAGATTTTTCTCTAGGGTTTACAATTACATTATGAACAATTTACAGTTGGACACTTAATCAAAATGTACCACTTTCCATAGAGTGTAAGAATTTTAAAGCAGTATACTTTCATTTTCCTCTTCTATCCTTTGGCTCTTGCTATTGTAAAACTTACCGCTAATACAGTATACATTCAACAAACTTTTGGTTTGGTTTTAAACAATTACTTCTTAAAGGTTTTTTTAATGAGAAAAATATTTAATGGTTATTTTACATATTAATAATTTTCAAATGTCTTCTTTCTTTGTGTATATCCACATTTCCATTTGGCGTCATTTAATTTCTGCCTGAAGAACTACCCTTAGTATTTCTTGTAGTGGGAAAAAATTAAAATTCTTTCTGGATGATGAATTTTCTCAGCATTTGTCTGTCTATGAAAGTCTTTATTTAGCTATCATTTTTGAAAGACAGATATTTTTTGCTTTGTATGGAACTCTTGGTTGCCAGTTTTTTCTTTCAGTGTTTTAAAGATGTCACAGCATTGTCTTAAAGTCTGTCTGGTTTCTGATGAGAAGTTGCTTTCATTCTTTCCTTTGTTCCGCTGTACATGTAACACTCCACCCCCGATTCTGGCTTCTTTTAAGGTTTTATCTTTATCATTGTTTTTCACCAATTTGATTGTGATGTGTCTTGGTGTAATTTTCTTCATGTGTCCTGCTTAGATTTCAATGAGATTTCCGGATCTGAAGTTTTATAGTTTTCATCAAGTTTTTAAAGTTTCAGACATTATTTCTTCAAATGCTTTTGTTTCCTTCATCTTTGACATTGTCCTGCAGCTCACCAATATTCCTTCCTGTTTGTTTTCCCATTGTTTTCACTCTTTCATTTTGGATAGTTTTTCTTGCTATGCCCTCAAAGTAAATTAATCTTTGGTTCTGCAGTGTCTAATATGCTAATTATTTTTAGAATATTTTTCATTTCATATCCTGTATTTTCACTCCTAAAATTCAAGTTGAGTCTTACTTATATCTTCCTTGTGTTCATGTTTTTCTCTGTCTTCTTAAAGTGTGGAGTTGATTTTGCTGTTCTAACATTCTTATTTGTTAAATTTATAATCTCTGCCATTTCTGGGATTGGTTGATTGATTTTTGCCCCCTCTGGCTGTGGGTTGTATTTTCCTGCCTGCTTACCTAACTGGTGATTTGCCATTGGATTCTGGTCACTGATGGTTGCTGGATTTTATCTCTTTAGATATTTTTGGGCTTTATTCTGAGATTCAGTTAAGTTAGTTGAAATGAATTAAATAGTTTTTAAGGCTTGTTTTTAAGTGTTAGGTAAATCCAAAGCAGATTTAGTCTAGGGTTAATTTGCTCCCATTACTGGGGAAATACCTTTTTGAGGATTCTGTTTGATGCTCCCAGTATTAGGAAGTCTTTCTTTCTTGTTGGTTTGAGCATGGACTACGCCTAATGAGAAGTGAGCTGTGAGCATTGTTGCACCTGTTCCTTTCTAATGGTTCTTTCTTTGGTGTTAGGTAACTTCCTTGCATGCTTGTATAGATCTGCACTCATGCAAAGACATAGAGGGGAACCCTACTGCAGATCTCTGGTGCTGTCTGTGTGTATCTCCTGACCTCCTAAAACTTTGAATTCTGTCTTCTCAAGTCAGGAAGGCTGCTGGACTCTGTTTTGTTTTCTCCCTTGCACTGTAGTCTGGAAATTCTCTTCAGGCAGTGACCTGGGGCAATCATAAGGCTTACCTTATTTGTTTCCCTTCTCTTTGGGATTACTGTCCAGCACTGCCTGTTTTTTGATGTCTAAAAACCATTGTTTCATATTTTATCTGCTTTTCAAGTTATTTAAGATGTTAGGATAAATCCCATTCCTATTTGTCTATCACGGTTGAAAGTGAAATTCTCCCTACAATTTTTTTTTTTTTTTCAGTTTTCCTTGTTCTTTATCTGGCTTCTTGAGTTGAAAACTTAACTCATTTAATATAAATGTATGCATTTTTTTAAAAAAGTGTAATTAAAAGCATGTTAAATGTTACGAAGGCTAGGAATTAAGCACTGCATTCACTGTTCCACAATTCTACATGTGTTGGTATGTTGCACTTTCAATTCAGTTTGAAATCGTTTAAAGTTTCCATTGTGACTTCGTTTCATGAGTTACGTTCCATGAGTTACTTAGGGATGTAGTTTTAGTTTCAAAATACTTTAAAAAATCCCTTTTATTATTTCTAATTTGGTAAGTTCAGATAATGTGCTGTGTGAAACTATTTTTTTTCAAATTGTTGAAACTTTCATGAGCAAGTATTTCATTGCTTTTTATATTGTCCCATATATATTTGAAAAGAATGCATATTCTATGTTAGGTGCAGTATTCCATTTATATATCTAATGGACCACATTTTGTCAAACTTACTACAACCATACCAATTATTTTACCATTTAGATGTATCAATTTCTTTTATTTATTTATTTATTTATTTATTTTGAGATGGAGTTTTGCTTTCTGCCCAGGCTGGAATGCAGTGGCACAATCTCAGCTCACTGCGACCTCTGCCTCCCAGGTTCAAGTGATTCTCGTGCCTCAGCCTCCTGAGTAGCTATAATTACAGGCACCCGCCACCACGCCTGGGTAATTTTTGTATTTTTAGTAGAGACAGAGTTTTGTCATGTTGCCCAGGTTGGTTTGAACTCCTGACCTCAGGTGATCTGCCCACCTCGGCCTCCCAAAGTGCTGGGATTATAGGCATGAGTCACCATGCCTGGCCTTTTGGATGTATCAATTTCTGATAAAGGTATGTTAAATTTTTTTTACCATGATCTGATTTGTCAATTTCTTTATGTAGTTTTCAGATTTTGCTTTCTGCTTAGAAGTTTTATTATTATGTTTTTGTGCTATATTAAGTTTCTGGTGCAATATGAGATAATAAACAACTCCAGAATCTCAGTGGCTTCCAAAAAGCATTTATTTCTTGCTGAAAGCTCTGTAGGTCAGCTGGGGTGGCTGTGCTTCAGGCTGCTGGGTAGGGTTAGGTTTATTCCATATTCTGTTAACTCCAGGACCAGTGACTGCTCAGGGCCTTTTCTTCTTAAGAGGGGAATTTATTAGAGAGGAAGCCACACCACAAAAGCATGTTTAAAGCTTCTGGTATATGTTACTTCTGTTTACACTCCATTGGCTGAGATAAATCACATGGTTAAGCTCAACATCATTAGGGCTGGCAAATTAACCCTGTCCCAAGGGTGGCACTGCAAAGTTATATGGTAAAGGGGATGAATATATAATTCTCTTACATGGGGAGAGTAAAGAATTGGAAGCAATAATCTAATAAGCCACCAAAATTATATATTAATAATTTTGATATCTTCTTGGTGTATTAATTTATTCAACAAATATTTTCAGGATAACTACCACGTATAAGGCACTGCCCCAGGTAGATAGGAAATACTAGTGAACAAAAAAGCCAAAGATCCTCCCCTAGGGGAGCTTATATTTTTCCAGGCAAAACACATACTAAAAAAATAAACACAATAAGTAAATTATAATATTATAGGTGCTATGGAACAAAGAAAATGCAAAACAGATGAAGGGTGCTTGGGAACTGCAGGAGCAGAAGACAGGTTGTGGTTTTAATATGGTGGTCAGAGAAAGGACTGTTCCATTATCATCTGTTTTTTTTTTTTTTTCCGGCTGATATTAACATGGCTAAACCCACTTTACCTCCATTAGAATTTGCATGGTGTAGAAGATTAACTTTAAAAACATCTCTAATTCTTTATTCTTCCCTGTATCTACACATTTTGCAAATCACCTGCAGATTTTTACCATTAAGTATAGGAGTTTGTTTCCCTGTTCCTTGAATCTGGGCTGGTCTTGTGATAGAATAGAATTTTCTGGAATGATGATGTGCCAGTTCTGAGCCTGTCCCTCAAAAGGACTGTGTACTTACTCCTGCTGTCTCTTGGAACCTGGCTACTGCCATATGTACAAGCCCACGCTAGCCTGCTGTATGATGAGAGAAATGTGAGGAAGAGCTGAACCAGCTAGCCACACCCCCAAATACATGAGAGAGCAAAGCTAATCCATTGATAACCCATCAGATGACCCCATCTAACCTATAGATTTGGGAATCACATAAATGCTTACTTTTTATGTGGTTGTTTGTTATACAGGATTATTGTGGTAATAGATAATGGATACATATGGTATATACTTTTTATCCCTTCATTTTCAATCTTTGCATATGGTGCTTTCTCAGTGTATATTTTGCAAGTCACATATAGCTGAATTTTAATTTTTTTTTGCCTACAGGGTTTGTAACTTTACATTTTAAATAAACTTAATTATACTTGTCTTTTTTTATAATGCCCAGAGTTAATAATACATAGCTTCATCACATCAAATAAGATAATTCTTGTAAGAGACTTTAACTTCATGCTTATCTGTGCTCCTGTTCCTCTAAAGTATGTTGACATCACCAAGAGTTTTAGTTCTAGATAATGATTCAATTTGTTTAAATAGTGTTCCAGTTTTCTGAGGAATACACAATTATATGTTATTTCACAGATGTGTCACCAGCAATTATTTAAAATTATGCCAATTGCTTAATTCTAAAAGACTCTTTTCCTTCACATTTTAACACTTCTGATATCAGGAGGCATCTCAAAATTAGTGGGTACACTATATAGTTAACCCCATGCTAAATTTATATAGTATTTCTCCTTGATTTATATCATTTTCACATTCCTCTATGTCCTTTGTCTCTGCCTGGTCAAGTCCTCATCCTTAAAGGCTTAATTCATTGTTTCCTCCTCCAGAAAGCTATCCCTAACCTTCTGGTTCCCATCTCTGTGCCTTTAATATCAATCATGTTTTGTTACAAAATCTGTTTGAGCGTCTGCATTCCTCACCAGGGAGAACTTCTTAAGGGAGGTTCCAACTATTGTCCACTTTATATTCCCCTTGGATCTTACGTATTTCTAGAGGCATACATGATTAATATATGTGTGTTAAAAGTATAAATTAAACAACGAATTGAAAGGTAGCTTACAAGAACTGTGAGGGGTCTGAGATTTTACTCTGCTGCAAGCTAACAAGTCAGCTTGCCACAATGTCAGGGATGCTGACAGAAGATAGAAGACCTCCTGAGTTAGAGTCAAAAACGATTACTCACAGCAAAAGCAGTAGCCGGAGTGCAAACTTGGTTGCATTGGTTTCTGGAGCACCAGTTCTGCAGGGCAGCTTAGGTGGTCCTAGACCTATGCTTGCACAAACATGGGTTGTGTCATGGGAGACGAATGTGGAACCTAGAAAATGTACCACTGACAGCAGCTGTGGTCTGAAAGGAGAGCTTACAGCATCTCTCAACATTGCTCACTGGAAATAGCCATGAGAAACGTTCTAGATAAAGAGTGGTCAGGGCCTTCCATCCTTGGCATAACCCACCAAGACATCTAGGCATTTAAGAGGCCCATGGAGTAGTGTTTCTCAATAGTAAAGAAAGCAGTTAGATGCAGATGGTGTTTTTTACTGTTATGATAACAAAACAATAAAAAACAGACATAAGAACATTTGTTACTTCCTCAGGCCACTGAGCATGGGGTTAACAGTTCCTTCCTTGGCCTCCATTGTACCATAATGGAAACTCACAATGAAGACCTTGAACTATCCAGTAAAAGTTAAAACATTTTTTTTTTTGAGACGGAGTCTTGCTCTGTTGCCCAGGCTGGAGTGCAGTGGAGCGATCTCAGCTCACTGCAACCTCCGCCTCCCGGGTTCAAGTTATTCTCCTGCCTCAGCCTCCCGAGTAGCTGGGACTACAGGCATGCACCACCATGCCAAGCTAATTTTTGTACTTTTAGTACAGACGGGGTTTCACCATGTTGGCCAGGATGGTCTTGATCTCTTGACCTCGTGATCTGCCCGTCTCGGCCTCCCAAAATGCTGGGATTACAGGTGTGAGCATTTAAGAAGACAGGATGTGTATAAAATATAATCAGTTTCACAGAAATTCTAGCTGAAATGCTTAAAATAAAAGTTTGGTTTTTAAAGAAGTAAGGTTCAGAAATATAGAATGTTAAGGTATATAGACCTAGTCAATCTTTGATAATGGTAGATAAAAATATTCAAAATTCTTCTTGTGAGATTTAAGGTAATGATACGTGGCCAAAGTTGATGTGTATTCATATTACTAAAAACTTTTTTTTTCACACTGTTGTCAGATGCTTATGTATATCTTTTTGGCTACTCATTGTTATATTTCAAATACATAAAATGTAGATTTTATTCAATTTACATTGATACTTTTAGAAGACTTTGAGAATAGGATGTAAGGGACTTGCTTTTCTGTTTCATCATTAATAATGTGACCCATGACTGGATGACATTAATAAATGATGTTCCATACTAAAGGCAATTCTTGATAAGAGACATTATATTGCTCTAGTACACATGAACCATGAACCAATAATTTCCAATTTCCAAAAGAATTCTTCTCCACAAAGACCACAATGAATTTCAAGTGAGATTTAGGATCTGATTTAAATGAACTTAGAAAAACATTTACTTGTATTTTGTCTTATTTCTCGTTTCCCAACTACTCTCTAAATCATAGAATTCATAGGAAATATTAACTGCTTTTTAATTTCTCCTTGGGAAATTCACCAATTTTATACGTTCTGAACTAGGAATTTAACTAGCTCCTATACATTTACAGAAAGAAATTGACTGCCACATATTTGTGACTATTGTTAGAAAAAGGTGAACACTTTATCCTCGCTACTGAGTTGGGAATATATCTAGATGACATTTATGATTGTTTCCTAAATCAAACAAGATATTTGGGGAAGCTCTACTTGCAAAACATATTAAATGGCAAAGAAGCTTTGGTTAGAAGTGAGGAGGAGGGCTATAAGGAAGAAACAGATAGGAGTAGAAAATAAAAGGGCCAGAATAAATAAAAGAAGTCTATTTTGTAGGCTTGGGGAAGGGAGTGCTGAAGCTAAGGGTGGAGCAATGGCATGCAGAAGAAACTGGGGACTTCCAGGGACAAAGGGGAGGCTGGAGGAGAGGAGTGAGGAGGGGCCGGCGAGGTGGCTCCCGCCTGTAATCCCAACACTTTGGGAGGCTGAGGCAGGAGGATCACCTGAAATCAGGAGTTTGAGACCAGCCTGACCAATATGGTGAAACCTTGTCTCTACTAAAAATACAAAAATTAGCCAGGTGTGGTGGCAGGCACCTGTAATACCAGCTATTGAGAAGGCTGAAACACGAGAGTCTCTTGGACCCGGGAGGCGGAGGTTGTAGTCAGCCTAGATCGCTACACTGCAGTCCAGCCTGGGCAACAAAGAGCAAAACTCTGTCTCAAAAAAAAAAAAAGAAAAAAAAGCAATCAGGACAGGTTTTCTCTAAGAGATATGGCAAGCACATCATAGGACAAGAAGGTAGACAGGAGCTTAGGGGAAGGGGCAGAGCTGGGGGTTTCAGGAAATATTAAGAAAAGGAGCTTGAAGGCAATGAGGGTGGAGCTGGCTGGCTGCTCGACCACCTGGAGGGCTGTGCTGGGGAACCAGAAAGAGCTGTGTGGGAAGGAAAGGGATTGGAGGTTAGGCACAGTGGCTCATCCCTGTAATCCCTGCGCTTTGGGAGGTGGAGGCAGGAGGATCTCTTGAGCCCAGGAGTTTGAAACCAGCCTGGGCAACATAGCTAGATCCCACCTCTAAAAAAATATTAAAAATCAACCAGGTGTGGTGGCATGTGACTGTAGTCCTTGCTACTTGGGAGGCTGAGGTGGGAGGATCACTTGAGCCCGAGGTGGGAGGATCACTTGAGCCCAGGAGGTCAAAGCTACAGTGAGCCATGATCACACACCACTGCACTCCAGCTGACAGAGTGAGCCCCTGTCTGAGAAAAGAAAAAGCTTATCAAAATGTGCAAAACCTTTATAATAAAATCTCCAAAATATTGCTGAGAAATCTAACAAATAAATAAATGACTATTTGGATTTGTTGTTGTCTTCAGATGGAGATGACATTCTTTTACAGCTTTCTTTATTAAAACATAAATAAATAAATAAATAAATAAATAAATAAATAAAGGGAGTGGGATGAAACCTGGGCCTTGGAGAGGGAATAGGATAAGGAAGTCCTAGAGGAGGTTGGGGAAGAGAAGAGCCTGGGTGTGTATGGGAAGCCATAGCCTTCTGCCTGTCTAGGAGGAAGGCCACAAGGCCAGGACACTGTTTCTGGGAGCAGATAAGAGATACAGTGAAAAGGAAGCATGCTTCCTTTTCATGTCCCACTTACAATGGTCTTGTGGACCAGATCTGGTGATATGTATACCACATTTTCAGAAAAATTTCAATAATATCATTTTTATCAGCCTCAGAGCTATCTATTATATGACCAGAATGTGTTCTTGTTGGACATTTATATTGTTTCTAGTTGATGTTTGTATGAGCATGCTGTACTGAATGTCCCTGTAGCTAAGTCTTTGCTCACGATGGCAATAATTCCATAAAGAGAAATTGCTGGGAATGGGAGAGTGAGTGTGGGGAAGGGGAATGCCAGAGCAAAGGACATAAACAATTTTAAGGTTTCAGATAAGTAATTTTCAAATTGCTCCAATTAACATTCTAACACAAGCATATGATGATCTCTGTTTCCCCATGTCCCATTATCACCAAGTATTATTTTAAAAAAAGGTGAGATTTAATTACATCTTAAATAGAAAAGACATCTTTCTTTAAAAAGTGACAGGATGACTGCAGATGTACAGGCATCAAGAGAGATTATCAGTAGGCAAGTTCATGCTGCCTCCCGGTGGCCACATAAAAAACTGACAAGATAGAAAACCAAGTCCAACCAGATAGGGACTATCTAAGCAAGTCATCAATGTTAATTTATTTAGAGCTAAAGTTTTAGAAAGTGAGTGGAAGAAACACAGAATAAATGGACTTGATCTTAGCATATTAGAGGATATGGGAGCAAGAAGAAAAACATTCTTACCACTGACTAGAACATGTGACATGATAGTGCGTGATGCACTCAGAGATGATTTATTAAACTGAGTGATAACAAAAAAAATTAACTTTTCGATGTCAGGCTCTGAGGAAAGATCACTTGCAACTTCCTTGAAGGGGCTATGGGACTATCTATATCTTGAGTATTTCACATCTGTTTCTTCTACAAGACAGTGAAGACAACAAGGTGCAGTCTTCTAAGGTAACTATTGCCCTGAAAAGAATACTCCTAAGAGTAATTATGTATTCTGTGTCTTAGACTATGTTTAGGGAAGAAAGTTTATTTTAACATTGAAATTGTTTCTGTGTGCAAAACACTGTGCTCTCTAGGGACAAAGCAGGAAAGGAAAAGGGAAAAGTTGCGAAGACAAATGACGGTTTTTATACTAAAAGGAGTTATCTTCTGCTGTTTTCCAGAGTTCCATCCTCTTCTCTGTTTATCTGTTTCTGCATGATCTCATCTACTCCCAGGACTGCAAATAGCACTTGCACAGTAATCCACTTGCTTACTGAATCTTTGACTTAGATTCACTGTGGATAAACAATATGCTTAGTATTATTTCCATGAGACTTGATGTTGGAGAAACACACATCAAATAATCATATCAATAGGCATGTATTTATAGATTATGATAAGTAAGGGAAAAAGTTCAGGTTACCATGAGAATGTATAACTTAGTGGTTCTTAAATATTTTTCTCTCATACCCCTAATGCTCTCATACCTGTAATGATTGATAATTAATTTACTGATAATTGGGTACTTGCCTAGATTCTTCAATCTTTTTTTAAAAAATAAAGTACTAAAATTAGAGACTACCTGACTTGAAAAATGATTTTCTACCTAGCCATTAGAATGGTCTACAATCTTAATTCCTGGGAAGCTTAACAAAAGGACTTAAAAAAATTATATGTGTTATTATTTCACCTAGATATGCCTTATTTAACACATATGCTCAGAAAACATACTGTTAATTTTAAGATACTTTTTCAAAACTTTTTTCAATGAGGTATAACATATATATATATAAAGTGCACTCATCTTCAGTGTACAGGTCAATGAAGTGTTTTTGTTTGTTGTTGTTGTTGTTGTTGTTTTTGTGTGTGTGTCTCACAGAAATTTGAATAATATGGAAAAAGACACAATGGCCCTACAAAGGCAGGCTTCACAATGCTACTATTTTAAACAGCTGCTTATTTGTTCAGTGTTTCAGGGGAATTTACACTTCAGGGTAACAGACAGTAATAAATATAGGCGATGAAGACCTTTTTTTTTTTTTTTTGAGATGGAATCTCGCTCTGTCACCCAGGCTGGAGTGCAATGGCGTGATCTCGGCTCACTACAAACTCCACCTCCTGGGTTCAAGCGATTCTTCTGCCTCACCCTCCTGAGTAGCTGGGATTACAAGCGTGTGCCATCACACCCAGCTAATTTTTGTATTTTTGGTAGAGACAGGGTTTCACCACTTTAGCGAGGCTGGTCTTGAACTCCTGACCTCAGGTGATCCGCCCACCTTGGCCTCCCAAAGTGCTGGGATTACAGGCGTAAGCTACCGCACCTGGCTAGGAGACATCTTTATTTATAAATTGGAAACTGGGCAACAGTGAAAGGGAAGGAGAAAAGGGGAACCAACTAGCTGATTCTGACTCGCAGGTGGTTTGGTTCTTAGGCAGCTCAGCCTCAGAAAAAAACACATTTAAAAGATGAGGGTCTGAAAATTGATTCCTTTGGGACTGTTATGCCTGTATACCCCCTTGGGAAGCTTTTGGGCATTTCTAAGTATATAGTACAGTATTCCAGTCATGACTACTCACCCAGACTTAGAAGTCTTCTCAGAGGAAGCAGCCTGTAAGCTGAGAACTGAAGGATGAGTATAAGTTAACTGATGTATAGGTAATGTAAGACCTATATGTTCATGGAGACTTCTTCCAGCAGATTTCAAGTTAAAAAGCATGTAAGTTAGAAAGCAGTATGTGTAGCTTGTCTTTTCACTTTGTTAATGGTTTCCTTTTTGGTGAAGAAGCTTTTTAGCTTTTAGCTTGATGTAATCCAATTTGTAATCCAATTTGCCTATTTTGCTGTGTTTTTGAGGTCTTACCCAAAAAATCTTTGCCCAGATCAGTGTCCTGTAGCATTTCCTCAACATTTTATTCTAGTAGTTCCATAGTTTCCAGTCTTAAATTTAAGTCTTTAATCCATTTTGAGTTGATTTTTGTGTATGGTGAAAGATGGGGATCTAGTTTCATTCTTTTGCATATGGAGATCTAGTTCTCCCAGCACCATTTATTAAAGAGAGTGTCCTTTCCCAGTGTATGTTCTTGGTGACTTTGTCAAAAATGGGATAGCTCTAAGTGTGGAATTTATCTAGGAGGAAATATCTGCAAATCATCCCTCCCACAAGGGATTAACAACCAGAATCTATCAGGAACTAAATAACGAAATGCCAAAAAAAAAAACCCCAAATAATCCAATTAAAGGATGGGCAAAAGACCTGCATAGACATTTTTCAAAAGAAGACATACAAATGGTCAACAGGTATATGAAAAAAAATGTTCAACATCACTAATCATCAGGGAAATGCAATCAAAACAGCCATGAGATATCATCTCACCCCAACTAGAATGACTATTATCCAAAAGACAAAAAATAACAAATCCTGTTGAGGATGCAAAGAAAGGGAACATCAGTACACTCTTGGTGGGAATATAAATTAGAACAGCCACCATGGTAAACAGTATGAAAGTGTCTCAAAAAAACAAAAATAGATCTGATGGATATCTCAATTAACCTGAGAGAATTGTTACACATTGCATACATATATCAAAATATCGTATGTATTCCAAAAATATGTACAACAATGATATATCAATAAAAAATACAAAAAAGAGAAAGGTGTGTGTGTGTGTGTGTTAAAGTGTCCCAAGGTCCCTTGTATTGTTTAAAAAGAGGGTAAAAAGTTAACTTTAGAATTTGCTCCATTAAGTAAGTGTTAAAAATTGTTGAGTGGCCACCAACAATTAGATAGTACCAGAAAAGATAGTACCCGAAGATAGTAGATAGTACCAGTACATAGTACCAGAAAGAATTACCCAAGTGGTAAAGCAGAAAATGGCAGGTGGGGGTAGGGAGTAGGAAGGAGAAATGTATGTAAAGAATAAAATTAAATCAGTTCAAGAGAAAGCATTCCTGGAGAAACCTAGAAAAAGTAGGAAGACAATGCATAAAATAAAATGGTAGAAATCACAAAATATCAGAAATCATAATCAATGTCAATGGACCAAAGGTAAATGCAAGCTTCTAAGACTGACTAAACAAAGAGTAAACAAACAACATTGAGCTACATGTTCTTTATAAAGAGCCACACTAAATCATAAGGACAAGAAAGAAGGTTAGTAAATAAAAGGATATAAAAAGATACACCATGGCAAATACCAACTCAATGAATGTATTTAGCCATGTTAAATAAATGTCA
This sequence comes from Homo sapiens, assembly GCF_000001405.40. NCBI lineage: Eukaryota > Metazoa > Chordata > Mammalia > Primates > Hominidae > Homo > Homo sapiens. The sequence continues at coordinate 21,122,173 of NC_000002.12, forward strand.
GGTAAAATACCTTAAGGCAAAAAATCTCTTGACATGGAGAAAGTTATTACAAATTGATAAAACGGTCAATTCATCAGAAATAAATTTTAAATCTTTATGTACTTTAAAAAATATATTCAAAGTATAGAAAAGACAAATAGGCAGACTTACAATAAGCTGATAAAAATCACTTTCTGTAACTGATAAAGCTGACAAGCACATCAGTAACGATATAGAACACTTGAACACAATTAACAAACTTGATCTAATGGACATAAATTTTATTATTTTTTTAATTTTATTTTTTTCTCTTTTTTTTTGGACATAAATTTTAAAAATGACTAGGTACTAGGGAAGAAGCAAGTATCAAGAAATTTTAAGTAACTGGTATCATTACAGACCACATTTTCTGGCTACAATGCAATTAATGCAAGTAAGCTACAAATGAGCATCAAAAAGCTAATAACACATTTCCACATATTTGGAAATTAAGAAAAATTATCTTTTACCCAGATGGCAAAAGAAATCTCAATAGGAATTAGGACAATTTTAAACTGAAAGATAAAGAAATTATACCATTAAAAACTTAAGGGATACAACTAAAGTAGTACTTGAAGGGAAATTCATAGCTTAAATATATTTTTCAGAAAATGAGAAAGGTTAAAAATAGAGACAGTAAACATTAAGCTGAAGAAAATGAAGTAATAAAGTCAGAAAAACTAGAAGGAAAGAATACAGATAAAGAAAAAATAAAATGGAGAATAATTACAAGAAAAAACAATACAGATGATAAGACTTGTCAAGAGAAAAAGATATGAATAATTAACATACACAATAAAGGAGGAAATAGTCAAAAGAAAAAGAAAACTGGACTCCATCTGTGAGCATGAAACAACTGATGTGCAAGGCAAGATTTTGCCTCACCTAAAATACCTACCCAGATGACTTAATATAGTTGAGTTTCTAATTTTTCAAAGGACAGTTACTTTCTGTCCTTGTTATATAATGTCATTTAATTGCTGCAGAACACAAAAAAATAGAGTTGTGTGGCTCATTTTATGAGACTAGTAATTTTTCAAATAAAGTGTTTCTTTTAAAATAATTACAAATTTACAGAACAGTTGCAAGAAGAGTAGAAAGAACATGTCCCCTCCCCATTTGAAAGTAAACTGCTGGCATTATGCCCAATAACCCCCGCTACTTTGTCTATTTCCCATAAACAAGGACTTTTCCCTACATAACCCTAACATACCCACTGAGATCAGGAAATTAACATTGTATACATTAATACCATCTAATTCACGGACCCAGTTCAAGATTCTCCAAAATAGAGAAATAGAATTAAATGCAATAACTTAAATATCTGATTAACTGGTGCTCAATAAATAGACATTTCTTTCACTAATTCACTGGGGACTCCTGAGTTTCTATCCTGGTAGTTGCAAGATAGATCTGTCTGCATGAACTCCAACCCTTGCACAGCCAGGAAGTGGGGTGATACCACCCCAATGTGTCACACCCATATGACAAGCTACATCCTCTCCACCACATTAGCCCGTCCAGAGTCTCTCCATGGCCTGGCCCTGAGAGACAAGGCTGTGAGGCTGCCCACCTGGAGCCTAATGCCAGCTTCAAGAACTCCCAGTGGGCACCACCCTTACCAGGCCGCACACAGCTTCCGCCCTCAGGAAGCCAGGGACAGCGCCAGGCGGGACGCTTTGCGCAGCTGCAGGCCTCCCCCGCCGCATTCGGCCTTCAAGCCCGCACATGCTCCCTGGGGCCCCTGCGGGATTACGAGGGGGTGGGAACAGGGCCCGAGTCTCCCGCCATCTTGGGCCCTAGCGGTATTTTTCCAGCTCTGGGAAGAGCGGCCTGACCCGCAGCAGAGATTCTTGGTAAACCCCAGCTCCGTTTATGTATGGTTAGCCTGCTCTAGGTACTATTGGTTTCCATGGTACTTCCCCACTTTTCTCCTCCGACCTACAGGGGCTTTGGCCTCCCAGGGGCGGGCTGCGATCTGAAGTCTGTTGTGGGATCTTCAGCTGCTTCTGTTCTCCCTACCTCTAATGGCGGCGGCGGCTCAGATTCAGCCCTCCCACCCGGGAGCAGCAGCCCTTCCTCGAAAAATGCAGTTATCAGAGATGGGAGCACCCAGCACATGGGGTCAATGATGGCTGATCCTAATGCCAGGCTGTGTGTGAGTGTGAGAGAGACCCTAATGCCAGGGTGTGTATGACACAGTGATCCTAATGCCAGGGTGTGTGAGTGTGAGAGAAACCCTAATGTCAGGGTGTGTGTGTGTGACAGAGTGATCCTAATGCCAGGGTGTGTGTGTGTGTGTGTGTGACAGAGTGATCCTAATGCCAGGGTGTGTGTGTGTGAGAGAAACCCTAATGTCAGGTTGTGTGTGTGTGACAGAGTGATCCTAATGCCAGGGTGTGTGTGTGTGAGAGAAACCCTAATGTCAGGGTGTGTGTGTGTGACAGAGTGATCCTAATGCCAGGGTGTGTGTATGTGTGACAGAGTGATCCTAATGCCAGGGTGCGTGTGTGTGTGTGTGACAGAGTGATCCTAATGCCAGGGTGTGTGTGCGTGTGTGTGTGTGTGACAGGGTGATCCTAATGCCAGGGTATGTGTGTGTGTGACAGAGTGATCCTAATGCCAGGGTGTGTGTGTGTGTGTGTGTGTGACAGAGTGATCCTAATGCCAGAGTGTGTGTGTATGTGAGAAACCCTAATGTCAGGGTGTGTGAGTGTGAGAGAGACCCTGTCAGGTTGTGTGTGAGAGAGACCCTAATGCCAGGGTGTGTGAGCATGACTGAGAGATCCTAATATTGTGTGTGAGTGTGAGAGAAATCCTAATGTCAGGGTGTGTGTGTGAGAGAGACCCTAATGTCAGGGTGTGTGAGTGTGAGAGAGACCCTAATGTCAGGGTGTGTGAGTGTGAGACCCTAATGCCAGGGTGTGTGTTAGAGAAATCCTAATGTCAGGGTGTGTGTGTGAGAGAGAAATCCTAATGTCAGGGTGTGTGTGAATGTGAGAGAAATCTTAATTTTAGGATGTGTGTGTGAGGGAGAGATCCCAATGCCAGGTTGTGTGTGAGAGAAATCCTAGTTCTAGCGTCTGTGTGTGAGAGAGAGCGATCCTAATGCCAGGGTATGTGTGAGAAAGAGATTGTAATGCCATGGTGTGTGTTTGAATTAGATTCTAAGCTAGGGTGTGTGTGAGTGTGCGAGATATAATGCTAGGGTTGTGTTAGGAAGAGATCCGAATGCCAGGGTGTGTGTGTGTGTGTGTGTGAGTGTGAGAGATCCTAATGCCAAGTTGTGTGTGAGTTGTTGCGTGTGTGTGTGTGCGTGAGAGAGAGAGTGAGTTAGTGTAGACCAAAAGACATAAAGAGAGTTAGGGTGTGGAGGTGTTTTTCCGAAGAAATTTATTTTTGATGAGTCACTTAATTGTTGTACCACTTTGGTATACATTCAATTTTTCTAACCTTTTGAAATTAACAAGAAGTATAAGCTCTTTACAGCATGTCAGCTAAAGCAGAGGGTAAAGTGAATTACCTTTTACCCTCTGGAACTCTTTTTCCAGTTCCATCTCCTAATTTATTTGTTTGATACATACCCGTCACACTTTCCTCTATTTGTATATGAACACATATTCATGTATACACGTAAGATATCATTTTAGTACCTTTTTTATATTACTCTGACCTCCTCCCAAATTGTACAGGATTCTTAAGACCTATTCATCAGAGCCAATAGAAATTTTTTATTAGTAATTACAAATATTAAAATAAGTCCTCTGTGAATTATTCTGTTCCTCCATTAATGAACATTCAGGTTGTGCATGTGTGTGTGTATGTGTGTGTGTGTGTGTCTGTGTGTCTTACAGCTTTAGTGAAGTATATCTGAGATATAACAAACTACACATATTTGAAGTGTACAATTTGACATTTGACACATGTATACTCTATGAAACCACTATAAACGACATCGTAAGCATATCCATCACCTTCAAAGGTTTCCTTTGGTCCCACTCGAACCTGCGCTCCCCTTATCCAAGTCAATCACTGATCTTTCTGTTACTATAGATTAAATGGCATTTTCTAGGATGTTATACAAATGGACTCATAAAATGTGTATTCTGCCTCTTTGTGTTTCAGCATAATTACTTTGAGAATCATCCATGTTTTTATGAGTATCAGTGTTTCATTCTTTTTTTTTTTTCTTTGAGACGGAGTTTCCCTCTTGTTGCCCAGGCTGTAGTGCAATAGTGGGACCTCGTCTCGCCGCAATCTCTGCCTCCCGGGTTCAAGCGATTCTCCTTCCTCAGGCTCCCGAGTAGCTGGCATTACAGGCATGCGTCACCACGTCCGGCTAATTTTGTATTTTTAGTAGAGACGGGGTTTCTCTGTGTTGGTCAGGCTGATCTTGAACTCCCGACCTCAGGTGATCCGCCTGCCTTGGCCTCCCAAAGTGCTGGGGTTACAGCATTCCTTTTTATTGTTGGATAGTTTCCATTTTATGCGTTACGACTATTGTATTGTTCCATTGTTTATTGTGTTGACAAACATTTGGGTTGTTTTGTTTTTGGCTCTTACAAGTAAACTTGCTGTGAACAGTCTCCTACAAGTTTTTGTATGGACATATACTTTCATTTATCTTGAGTAAATACTCGGAAGTGGAATGACTGGGTCATGTGGAAGGCATATGGTATATATTTAACTTTTAAAGAAGCTTCCAAACTGTTCTCCAAGTGTTTCTATCGTTTTACAGTTCTTTCTGAAGTCTGTGACCTTTGCAGTTATTCTATACCCTCACCAGTGTTTGGTACGGTTGCCCTTTAATTTCAGCCATTCTAGTGGATGTGAAGTATTATCTTAGTGCGATTTAATTTGCATTTTCTTGATAACAATGATATTAAGCATCTTTTTCAAATGCGAATTTTCCATCAATAAATCTTCTTTGGTAAAGTGGCTGCTAAATCTTTTACCTATTTTTAAATTGGATTTTTTTTTTATTATTGAGTTGTAAAAGTTCTTTATATATTTTAGAGACAGGTTCTAGGCTATATGTTTTGTAAGTATTTTCTCACTCTCTCAGGCTTGCCTTTAGTCTTTTTATTGTGTCTTTGGAGGAGCAAAATATTTTAATTTTGATAAACTTTGATGTATTGATTTTGTCCCTCTTTAGCAGTTTGAATTTTTTGTGTCCTATTTAAGATGTCTTTGCCACGTCAAGGTACCTATGATTTTCTGTTTTTTTCTGAGAAGTTTTATACATTTAGTTCTTATATGTGGGTTTATATTCCATTTAGAATAAATTTTTGCATATGGTCAGTTTTTTTCCCTCTTTTAAGCGTATGGCTATCCAGCTGTTACAGCATCATTTGTCGAATTGCTGGCACCTTGGTTGAAAATCATTTTATCTTTTATTGACTTTATCTAGGTCTTATTTCTGCATTCTGATCTGTTCCAGTGAATTATATTTCCACACCAGTACTACACCAGTACCACAGTGTCTTGAGTGCTGTAACTTTATAATTAGTCTTAAACTCAGGTAAGCATAAGTTCTCAAATTTTAATCTTTTTCAGTTTATTTTTTTATAACCTATTTAGACCGTTCTGTTCCTTTGCATTTCCATAAAAGGTTTAGAATCGCGTTTGAATTTCTACCAAAATGCATCCCAGGATTTTGATTGGGATTATGTCAGTTCTGTAGGTGACTTTGGGGAGAATTGATACCTTAAAATTAATTTACATCATCTTTAATTTCTCTTAGCAGTGTTTTATAGTTTTAATTTTGTAAGTGTTTCAACAAACATCTTTCAGTATGTATTCTTATATTCATAAGGATAGATTACCAAGAGTAATCTTGGTATCAAAAGATGTGAGGACTTCAAGATTAATGGTACTATAAGTTTACATGACAAAAATATTATAAGAATTTATTCTCTTACCTGGAACCTATGAACTTTCATTCTCCACGTATTTGTTTGTTCTGGATATAATCATTCATTTATGTTTTTCCTAATACAGTACATGGAAGAGGAATTTTCATTCTTCTTTCCCCCATACTAGTGATATGGAACATATTTTTATGTTAAGGATGCTTTTTATCTATATTCCATGTTATGGTTTTTTTTTTAAATCTGTCATTTGTCTATTCATATAATTTTTTTTTTTTTTGAGATGGAGTCTCACTCTGTCGCCCAGGCTGGAGTGCAGTGGCGTGATCTCAGCTCACTGCAAACTCTGCCTCCCGGGTTCACGCCATTCTCCTGCCTCAGCCTCCCGAGTAGCTGGTACTACAGGCGCCCGCCACCACGCCTGGCTAATTTTTTGTATTTTTAGTAGAGACAGGGTTTCACCGTGTTAGCCAGGATGGTCTCGATCTCCTGACCTCGCAATCCACCCACCTCAGCCTCCCAAATTGCTGGGATTACAGGCATGAGCCACCATGCCCGGCCTGTATTCTTTTCTGTATAGCAATTTTAGCATATATGTACTTAACTGTGTTCTTCATTCCTTTTATGGTTTTTGGGTTTCTATCTTTCTTAAGATTGTCCACCTTATCCTAAAATATTTCAAATGTTTTTCTAAATTTTCTTCTAACTTTATGGCATTTTGAAAAGAATTTTGTTTCTTTTTTTTTTTTTCTTCACTGTCAGAGAAGAAATGTATGGCCATTTATAGAGAAATTCGAAGTGGAAAAATCAGAAGGAAAAATCACTGTCACTTAATATAATCCATGGGAAAACAAGTGTTTTCTTTAAAAAATGTTATTGTTATTTATTTTTTTTTTGACAGAGTCTTGCTCTGTCTACCAGGCTGGAGTGCAGTGGCAGGATCTTGGCTCACTGCAATCTCTGTTCCCCAGGGTCGAGCCATCCTCCCACCTTAGCCTCCTAAGTAGCTGGGACCAGAGGTGCACGTTACCATGCCCCACTAATTTTTGTATTTATGGCATTGTGTTTCTCTTTCAACAGTTGATGAAATTTGGGTAGTTTTCACTTTTAGTTGTTAGGAATAATGCTACTAAGAATGGTCCTGTCCAAATTTTTGTGTGGATGTGTTTTCAGTTTTCTTTGGTCTATATCTAGTAATGGAATTGCTGTTTTAACTTTCTGAGGAATCACCAAACTTTTTGAAAATGGCTGTACCGTTTTACAGGTGCAGATTGCAGGAGGGTTCTAATTTGTCTACATTCTTGCTAACGCTTGTAATTGTTTGGTTTTTAAAATACAGTCATCCTAGTGTGTCTGAAGTGGCATTTCATTGCAGTTTGTTTTCCTAGTGACTAATGATGTTGACTATCTTTTTATATGCTTATTGGCCTTTTATGTATCTTTTCTGAAGAAATATGTAGTCAAATCCATTGCCTGTTTTTAGATTGCATTGTCTTTCCATTGTTAAGTTTGGGATCTTTACATATATTGTGCATTAAGCCCCTTATCAGATAGGTGATTTGCAGATATTTTCTGCCATTTTCAGGGTTGACTTTTCACTTTTCTGATGGGTCCTTTGGAGTACAAGTTTTTTTTAAACTTTGATGGTCCAATTGATCTGTTTTTTTTATCTTTTGTTACTTGTGCTTTTGGAACCATATTTAAGAAGCCATTGCCTAACACATCTTGATATGTTTTCTGTTCCTTATAGCAATACCTGAAACTGGGTAATATATAAAGAAAAGGAATTTATTTCTTACAGTTATGGAGACTGAGAAGTCCAGGGTCAAGGGGCCACCTCTGGTGAGAGCCACCTTGCTAGTGGGGACTCTGCAGGTCCTGAGGTGGTACAGGGCATCACGTGGACAGGGGGTGAGCATGCTAGTTCAAGTCCTTCCTCTTCTTATAAAACCACCAATCCTACTCCCTGATAACCCGATAACCCATGAATGGATTAATTAATTCATAAGGACAGTACCCTCCTGACCTATTCACCCCTATTAAATGTCCCACATCTCAATGATTAAGTTGCAATGTGAGTTTTGGAGGGGACAAACATTTAAACCATAGTAGTCATGAAGATTTATTTCAAAATTTTTAAGGAATTGACAGCTTTAGTTCTTACCCATAGGTTTTTTATCCATTTTCAGTTGCTTTTTGTGCAGATGCTTCTCAACTTACAATGAGATTAAATCTTGATAAACTCATTGTAAATTGAAAATACTGTAAGCTGAAGATGCATTTAATGCTGGCAACAAAAGAGATGGTCCCTGACTTACCATGATTCAACTTAGGATTTTCAATTTTACAGTAGTGCGGAAGCAATACACATTCACTAGAAACTGTACCTCCTTTTTAAGTTGTGAGGAGCTTTTAGATTTCTATGGGGTTATATCCCCCAAAATTCCTTGTAAAGCTGAAAAATCTGAAGTCGAACCATCGTAAGTCTGAGAACATCTTGTGTATATTGTGTGAGGTCGGGGTCTGACTTCATTCTTTTGCATGTGGGTATCCATTTTTTTTTCAGGACCATTTATTGAAAATATTATTTCCCCGTGAATAAACTTGGCATCTTGTCAATGTTTACCTTTTTCAGTGTGTTAATGTTGACACTGATGGTGCAAAAGCAATGGTGGATAAAACTGCTGGCACCTCGCTGTGAATCAAGGCAATGGCACCAAACTATTGGTAGTCATTGTATTATTTACTACCAAACACTTGCAATAAAAAAGGTGGCAGTTTCACTTTAAAATGTCCTTGATCTAGCAGTAAAAATGAATGATATTAAAGCATGATCCTTGAAAATATGTCTTTTTAATATTCCATGTGGTGAAATGGGAGGTACTCATAAAATCACTTCTGTTGATACTGAACTGTGCAGATCGACTCTAGGAAAAGCATTTGATGTAACTAGTTGAGTTGCAAACCAGTGTAGCAAACTGAGTCAGATTTGGGTACTTTGCACATTGAAGCAAGCTCCTCACTTTAAGGAAAACAACTGACAGTATCTGTCAATGATAAAATCCAAGTTTTAAAGCAAAAATTAGAAAAGTCAGGAAAGTTATGTCTGCCATTTTGAGTTTGATGGTATCCCCAAATTTGATGACTTTTCTGATGAGATTGCTGGTGATACCAATCAGTTTTGTTTGGGGATGTTAGGTAATGTAATATGTCGACATATGGAAGATCTGTACATCTAACCAATATTTTCAAATTAATCCATGTGATATCTTATAAAATCATGCATATTTAAAAATTTCAAAGTACAAGATAGGTAGGCCAGTGGATTTTAAGATAATACAAAAAGTTCCCTTATGATTTTATATTCCACATTGTAAACTAACTTCGAAGAAACTACTACTCATTGAGTTGTTGTGCATATCAAAGAACGTCTTCAGTTATATGAAAAAGCTTTTAACGTTCTCCTTCCTTCTCCAACTACGTATCTGTGTATAGCTAGCTTTTCTTCACATCCTTCACCCAGAATAGCCTATTGCAACACATTGAATGTAGAAGCAGATATGAGAATCCAGCTTAATTTCTATTAAGCAGACATTGAAGAGATTTGTAAAAATTACAAAACCATGTCACTTTTCACTAATTTTTTGGTTTTAAGAAATATAACCATCTCTCATGAAAATATCTGTGTTTTTAGTGGGTTTAGTATTTTTAAATGAATTAAATATATTTTAAATTTCTATTTTTATTTCTAAAATGATAAACGTTGGTAGATATAAGTTACATAAATGAAAACTCTTTGAGATCTTCAGTGATTTATAGGACTATAAATGTGTCCTGAGAACAAAGGTTTGAGAACCACTAGTTTAATATAACTTTTTTGTTGCTTTTGGTAGAGAGGGTAGGGAGGGGCTAGGGACTATTAAGTTTGTGGGAGGTTACAGTTTTAATTAGAGTAGTCAGGGAATGCGTCACCTAGAAGGGGATCTTCTGACCAAAACTTGGAGGAAGTGACGAAGCAAGCTGTGCTCTGACAGCAGTTAAGCCCAAAGCCCAGAGGTGAAAAGATTCACGCAATGTCAAGGGAGGAATTGCAGCTTCAGTGTAATAAGTGATGGGAGTGTAATAGGAAATAAGGTAATAGAAAACACGGGAGGTTTTGGTGGTGGTGGTGGTGGTGATGGTTAGCTCTGTCGGACTTCATAAAGCCATTTTTGATGGCTTTAGTTTTCACTCAGTGAAATTAGAAGCCACTGATTTTTTTTTTCTCTCTTAGCATATTGTATCTTATATTTTAAAAAGATCACTCTGGTTACAATGCTAAGAATATTCACAGGTTGGGATGGGGTGGAGTTAAGGCTAAAAGACTAGTGAGGAAGGTAGTATTACAGATGACAGGGGAAGATAGTTTAGGCCAGGATTGTGGCAGCAGAATTGCAAGTGTCAGATTTTTATATGCTCTGGAGATGAACCCAGTAGAATTTCCTGGTGGATTGTGAGTGGAATGATAGTGGGGTCATGGATGATGAAGATATTTGGCTTGAGAAAATCCTTCATGCAGTAAATTAAATTGATTTTAATGTTGTTTATAGCTTCATTTTTTGCCTATAGTTAACAAAATTAATATATTAAAAAAATTTTATGACCTCTGGGTTTTGTCTTCTAAAAGATGTCTCCCTTAGTAAGATTAGAAAAATATTCTTGTATTTTCTTCTAATTCTTTTAGATAGTTTTAATAAATTAGTTCTTTTATCTACCTGGTATTTATTTTTGCTCTCACTAAAGCAGAGTTTCTCAGATTCAGAACTGTTGACATATTGGGCTGAATAATTCTTTGTTTGTGGAAGAATGTGCTCTGCTGTGCATTATAGGATATTCAGCGGCATCCCTGGCTTCTACCCACTAGATATTGGTAGCACTCACTTCCTACCTCAGTTAAGACAACTAAATGTATTTCCAGATGCCCCCAGATGTTCCCTTGGGGAAAAAATTGCTCCTAGTTGTGAACTTCAGTAAAGAATGTTAAAAAAAATGAAGCCCTGATTCTGAAATATGCATACTCAAATAGTATATCCAGTTTTATTTTCATCACATCAGTGTCATTAACAAGGTGAATCTAGAGACTATTCTGAATATGTGGAAAAGATGGGAGGAGGAAAACCAAAGCACAGATGCTTCAACTTGCAGTCTTTTGGAACATAGTGACCTTGCCAGAATACTGGCCAAAGTTTGAGCAGAATGACCTTAAATTTTGAAAAAGGAAGAATTATTAAGCAGATTCTGTCCCAGAATGGTGCTTTGCTTGTTTGTTTTTGTGGGTTTTTTTCTTTTGTATTTGCATCTTTCATTTTTATTTTGGCTCTTGTCCATGATTATGTACTTTAGTTGAAACAACAGTGTAAAGCAGTGGAAATGAAATAATGTACATAGTGAACTGGACTGATAATCAGAAAACCTAATCAGAAACCTAAATCTCTTTTTAGATTTCAATTTTGATCAATTTCGGTTTCAGTTGATCTTCAGTTCTGTGGTCCGAAAAATGAAGGATCTTATTGTGAAGATCAGTTAAACTAGTGTACTAAAACCTTTAAAAAATTTAAAGCATTATAAGGAGTTATTAATACAAGGAACTATTATTTTACCTGCTTTAAGATTTTTGACAAAATTTATATTTAAAACTTAAAATTGTATCATAGTTCTAGACCTGTACATTGAAATACTGTAGTCACTAACCACATATAGCTATTGAGCATTTGAAATATGGTTAGTCCAAATTGAGATGTATGCTAAGTGTAAAATGTACACCATAGTTTGAAGACTTAGTATTAAAAAGAAATCAAATATCATAATATTATGTTGATTACATGTTGAAATGATAATAGTTTGGATGTATTGAGTTAAAGTAGATTATGAAAGTTAATTTCATTTGTCTCTTTAATTACTTTTAAATGGTGTTACTGGATTACTTTATATATATGGCTCAATTGTGTTTCTAGTGGACTTTACTGGTCTGGACTTGTTTGATGTTAATTTATAGAAGATAAACTCCAATGAGTGCCATTATCTATAATATATATTCTATAGAATCAGGGAATTTTAGTATAGAAAGGGTTTTCTCTATCAATTTTAATAGTATTTGTAGATTATATTTTCCTCAAACCTCAGGGGAACTGTGATGCTGTGTATTTTTTATTTAGATTTAATTCAGGTGTTTGGGAACTTTGGATTTAAATTTGATTTTTTAAAATATAATTTTTATATAAAACATTCAAATATTATATACTAAATTTAAAAGCAGAAAAGAGCACTAGTTAGTGCCATTAGATTAACTCATTGATTATTTAAGTTGTGGCTATCCCATATTTTTGTTTGACTCTGTGTTGGATCATGTATGATTTTGGAAGCAGGTAGACTGTTCCATATTTGTGAGCCTGATTTTCCCGATACTGTGCTATCAAACATCATAATAAGTCAAATTATATGATAAGGCTGCTATCGGCTTGTTTTTAATAGAATAACTTTATTAGTCTCATTTACTGACTTCAAAATTTTATAAATGTATGAAATTGTTAGAACACTAATGAATCCATTTTATAGGTATTTTGATTTTTGCAAAAAAATCTTTTGCATTTTACATTTTAAGATTTCTGCTGCAGAAAAATAGTTTGAAAAATCCTAATTTAATTAAACTTTTCATTTTACAGATTTAGAGTCTGATTCTAAGGAAAAATAGTTTCCCAAATTTCACACAATTAATTGAGTACTGATATCTGAATCCTGTGTATACAGTGTAAGTACTTTCTGTGATATAATAGTCTTCTAAGGATTATCATATTTGAATAAGGGTTGGATCTAGAACATCTTGATTTAAATTATGTCTTTAAAGTAATACATTTGTTCATTGTGTAAAATAATTAGTTTAGTTTTAAATTTTATATATAAATTGTATTTATATATAAATTGTGTATAATTATATTTATACACAATTTATATATATAAATAATTATATTTATATATAAACAATTAGTTTAGTTCTAAATTTTATATATAATATAAAATATATTATGTATTAAATATTATATATTTATATAATATATTTTATATATAAGATATAATAAAAAGATATATACATATTTTTATATATATAAATATCTATAATAAAAAAGATGTGTATATATACACCTGAATTTTCTTTGAATTATTTTCATTTGGTCTTTAGATGCCCAAGGGTAGGAGCTTTGTCCATGACACTGGGAACTTTCTTCATGACCCTATTTAGTAAGCATTGTAGAGGCAGGTGAAAGAGTTTGACTGACATCCACAGGATAGGTTATGTTGTCTACCTGATGAAGAATTTTTTTTCATTGTGGGGCCCTCTGGTGAGTATCACATGGGACCTAAAATTTTCCTATGTGCCAATTTATAGAGGCTCATTCACATACCTCTTCTTCAGACGTTTTTGTAATAAGTCTTCCAGTCTTGTTCCTTCAGCATTCCTAATCATCTTGCAGAAACTATTAGCCATTGCATATTAATATGCATAGGTTATTAACTCAAGCAATTTCTTCTTTAGGCAAAGTAGATGTAATGGTAGGTCTTTCTACTGTGAAGATTTTCTTTCATTTCTTAGTCTGCCACCCTACCCCCATTCCCACCCCCACACCCGGGTTGGGGTGTAATGCCTCAGCAGTCTATTTCTGGATGTTACTGGCATTAAGTGAGAGCCATGTATAAACCAGATGTTTACCCCTTCTGATGTGGAATTCCCCAGGAGTCCATCTGTATTGTTTGAGGGAGAGATAGTGACGTGGAGGAGTAGGTTTTTGATAGTTTGAGTAACCTATTTAAAAAGTTCCTTGTGCCTTTGGGCTTGGTTGTCTTCTATGTACTGTATATACCACCTCTGTTTAATGAAGGAGATCTTCTGGGTACCTCTACTTTTTATACATGAAAAAGGGTGGCATGGTTCCTGAAAGATGTATGTAAATTTTTTCTTTCCCATATGCCCATGTGAATGATCACAGGGCCCTTCAGGTGAATGCCAGGAAGACAGTTTTGGTATAATCCAGTACAGGATTCTTTGAGAGTACCTGGTTGTTTCTTCATGTAAGGAATTAATGGGGCTATAAACTGAGTAAAGTGTGGGAATTGGGTGAAGGCCTGTGACTAAATAATGAAAACATTTAGACTTTGGTGAGACTTTATATTCTGTCCCTACATACTCCTCTTTCATCTTTTTATCTTTTTCCTCTGAGCTTTGGGGTATTTAGTCAAAATTTTCTTCTAATTTATTTTTATTTTAGGTTTTATTTTCCCATTATACTTTGAAATCTATCATGTGTGTATAGTTCATCCTAATATCAGTTGTTATGTTTTCACCTTTTGACCTTTTTGAGAACAGGACTTTGCTATTTCTTTCAGTACATCTATTTCTATGGAGTAGCATTTCCTTGGTTTCTTTTAAGAGGTTCCCTCATTTTGAGGGGGAAGGCATCCAATGTTTTTCTCTTACTCATCCTCATAGAAATAAATTAATGCCTGTCAACTGTTAACTCAGAGTCAAGGAAGAGTTTAGCTGTATTCTGTCACAGTAGATGATGGTTCTTGCCTGAAATTGGGGATTATTTGTATTTCTTGAATATTTGCCTTATTTTTAGAATCCTAAAAATCCACAGATTAGCTATGGTAGAAAATTTTGCCTTGATGCTATAGATTCCTTCCCTTTTCCACTTATTGTGGCCAGTCATGCCAGTGATAAGGTCTGGATATACCTAACCTACTTCAGTGTCTTTCTATGCTTAGCTTCCCTTAGTGGTGTCCAGGTCTCAGCTGATTTCCCTCAATCAAAGATGAATCCCGGGATTGTATAATGATGCCGATAGAGTCCAAATATTGCGAGTTCCGCACAGAGTGGGGAGTGAAAACAGTGTGCCCCTTTTTGGTTCACCATCTGCCCTTCTAGCACTCAACTCTTTGAGTTATAGGTTGTTGGAAAGAGTTTGCATGAAGGAAAGTGGTTGTCTCACAGGAGGAGAAGGAGGTCCCCAGTGAGGCTAATTTAGCTCCTTTCATTACACCACATCTGTCCAATATCCAGCTGGAATTTGTTAAAGTTTCTGGAAAATAAAGGTTGCTCCTCTCTGTTTTCCAGTGATGGTATTCTTCCTATTTAAAAAAAGTTTTTGTAATTATTTCAATGAAAAATTTTAAAAGTATAGAAAGCAGTGAATGTTAGATTTTGTTTATTTCACCAGCGTCTCATTCGATATGTATAATTTTTATCAACATGTTTAAATTTGATAAAATACAGGCATATAATTATTTTTAGTTTTATATTTATATGCCAAACATAAGGCTAATTGCAGTTAACTTTGATAGCTAATGAGTAATTATTATTTGCTTTTTAGAAAATGGATTCTACATCTTTCTTACCAACATTTTTAGATGTGGATCTGACAATATCACATATTAAATGTCTTCCCAAGGATATTCTGGTGAAATTTCAAGGCATAAAGAGTAATGAATGTGAGTTTGACTACCATGTATTGCAGAGAGAAATACAACATACTCCAAAAGTGAAAAATAATGTGGAAATTGATGAATTTTGTTTGGTGGAAGAAAGAGTATCTGGAGAATGGCAGAGAGGAAGAGTCATGGAAAAGAAAAATGAACTCTATACAGTGCTCCTCATAGATCGCGGAGAAGAACTAAGAGTTGCTGGTCCACAGATTGCTTCAGCCTGTGGCAATTTATTTGAGCTACCGCCACGGGTAGTATTTGGTATTTTTGCGAATATACTACCAGTTGGGGAAAAATGGTCCCCTAAAGCTTTGAATTATTTCAAGTCATTAGTAGGAATACAAGTGAAAGGTTATGTGCAAGCTATTTTACCTCTGCAAATGTTTCTTTTTGAAGTGCCAAAAATTATATCTCAGGCTCTCGAGTTACAATTAGGAAGACTTGTTGATGGAGATTCATTTCGTCTTATTGTGGAAATGTTAGAAGAATTCCCTCAACAAATGCCAGATTTATTACAACATAAAAGGCCTGAATTGTCATTAGGTAATAAAGATACTTCACTTGATATTCAGCATGTTCTGGATAAGTTGCAGCCATCTTTGTCAGTAGGAAGTACTGAAAGTGTAAAGGTATCATCTGCATTGAGCCCAAGTAAATTTTATTGTCAGTTAATTAAATGGACTCCAGAGCTAGAAAACTTGACAGCACATATGACTTTGCATTATGATACCGTCTGTCAAGAAACTAGTCCCACGTGTGATAATTTTGGACTGCTTTGTGTTGCCAGAAGGCGAAATGGACAGTGGCATAGAGGAATTCTTCAGCAGCTCTTGCCCCCAAATCAAGTAAAAATTTGGTTTATGGATTATGGCAGTAGCGAGGCTATACCCTCAATTTATGTAAAGAAACTTAAACAGGATTTTATTTTAGTACCATTATTTTCATTTCCATGTTCTCTGACATGTTTGCACAGTCCAGATAGAGATGCAAGAATATTTCAACTGAGTATATTTAAACAGGCCTTATTAGGACAAGTGGTATATGCACACATTGATTGGTTCAATAAGGATGAGTGTTTGTATTATGTGACATTACAAACTCAAGAGTCTACAGTTAATTCTAAGTGTCTACTGAAGACTGTAGGCACACAAGTACTTTGTCCGATGTCTGATTCAAAAATCTCCAATATCTTGAGTGAGACAAGTGTGTCTGATGTAAACAGCTTTGCAGTTGAGAGTTTTATGGGAAATATTGAATGGTCAATAGACTCTCTAAATAAAAAAGGCATTTTAAAAGTAGGTTTTCCCATTAAAACAGTACAAATGGAGATAGAGGCTGCCTACATAGCTTTTATAGCATATGTATTAAACCCATCAAATTTCTGGGTACGCACTAATGACCATCGGAATGAATTTCAAGAAATAATGAAAAACATAAACAAATTTTATGATTTGTGTGAAAACGATGAAATGATTCTAAGAAAACCTGAACCTGGATTATTTTGTTGTGCTAGATATAGCAAGGACAGACGTTTTTACAGAGCTGTCATCACTGAAATTAATGGTTATAAGATTAATGTTTATTTTTTGGATTATGGTAATACTGATTCCATACCATTTTTTGATGTAAAAATTTTGCTTCCAGAATTTTGTGAGTTGCCTGCCTTAGCGATGTGCTGTTCACTTGCACATATATTTCCTGTTGAAGATTTATGGACTAAGGCTGCAATTGATTATTTTAAAAAATTAGTTTTGAACAAAGCAATTTTGCTTCAGGTTATAGCAAAAAAAGATGACAAGTACACTGTAAATATTCAAAGTGTTGAAGCCTCAGAAAATATTGATGTTATCTCTCTTATGTTACAAGCTGGATATGCAGAATATTTTCAAGTAGAACTAGAATATTTTCCAAAATCTGTAAGTGAATATTCAATGCTAAATTCAGAATCTAAAAACAAAGTTAATATTAAAAAAGTCATATCTGCCCTTCTTGAAGGACCTAAATCTAAAAAGTACCATTCAAATAACCTGGTGGAAAATAACTTGTCTTTGCCAAAGTCCCTAGCTGTTAATATCTCAGAATTTAAAAATCCTTTCACCTTGTCTGTGGGACCTGAGTCATCCTGGCCTTATAAAGAATATATTTTTAGACCAGGAACAGTTCTTGAAGTTAAATGTTCCTGTTATTATGGCCCAGGTGACTTTTCATGCCAGCTCCAATGTAAGTCAGAAGACCTAAAATTACTAATGGAGCAAATTCAGAATTACTATAGTATTCATTCTGATCCTTATGAGATTGGGCAGACTGCTTGTGTTGCTAAGTATTCTGGGAAGTGGTGTAGAGCTGCTGTTTTGACTCAAGTATCAAAAGAAGTTGACATAGTGTTTGTTGATTATGGTTACCAAAAAAGGGTTTTAATTGAAGATCTTTGTGCAATTAACCCACGTTTTCTCTTGTTAGAAAGCCAAGCCTTCAGATGTTGTCTTAACCATTTTATTGAGCCTGTTAGTTGTAAATTATTCAGTTGGACAAGAAAAGCATTCAGAGACTTGTGGAATTTTATCTCTTCATCTAGAGGGTTATTGACTTGTATCATCTATGCCTTAGTTATTATACATCCAAACCATTTATATAACTTAGTGGATTTACAGTCCTCATTTACTAGTGCAAAAGAATTTCTTATGAATCGTGGCTCTGCTCAGTATATCACATTATCAGAGACATTCCCATCTTTATTTAGTCTTTACAGTTACTGTTATTCTTCCTTTAATATACAAATTGGAAGTGAAGAAGAAGTATATATATCTCACATATATAGTCCCCAAAAGTTTTATTGCCAGCTTGGCAGAAATAATAAAGATCTAGAGATGATAGAAACAAAAATCACAGAGAGTGTTAACCTCCAAAATTTTCCAAAATATGATTCTAATAAAATGAGAGTGTGCATATCTAAGTATGTAGAGGATGGTCTCTCATACAGAGCTTTAGCAATACCAACAGATTCATCATCTGAGTTTCAAGTCTATTTTGTAGACTTTGGAAATAAGCAATTAGTAGGAGAAAATATGTTGAGGGCCATTTCAGCTCAGTTTCCAGAGTTGTTGTTTACACCTATGCAAGCTATTAAGTGTTTTTTGTCAGATCTTAGGGATGTAGATATTCCAGCAGAAATCAGTAGTTGGTTTAAAGACAATTTCTTGGGAAGATCATTAAAGGCGATAATATTGTCCCAGGAGTCAGATGGACAGCTTGGTATAGAATTGTATGATGGATCTCAATATATAAATGAGAAAATTAAAGTGTTGCTTCATGCTTATGGAAAAAGACATTGTGACCAAGCATGCTGCATGGAAAAGAGTAATAAAATAAATGAGAATAAGAGATTTACTACTTCTTTGAAAGGCAAAACAGGAAACAACTATCGCCATAATGTGATAAATAAACCTAGTCCAGTAACATATTCCGAAAGAAAAATAGACCAATTGATGCATCCCAAAAATATACATGCCAGGTTTTTGAAGCCATCAGTTTGTTATAAAATGGAACCTGTGTCAAAAAACAAAATGAAGACTTCTTTGAATGATGGGCTTAAAGGTATAAAAATTGTCCCTGGAGCTGCACATATTCTTGAGAACAGGCGTGTGGGCCAAAAATCAGTAAAGGTTGTATCACAGTCTTTTATCAGAGCATTAAATCAAACAACCTCACAAAACCCATATGACCTTATTAGGCCACAGATCAAAGACCTTCCTCAACCGCAAATTTATTTGAATGCCAAAGTTAAAGGGTATGTATCTAATATCAGTAATCCAGCGAATTTCCATATTCAGCTTGCTGAGAATGAAAGTGTAATTATCAGACTTGCTGATGCTCTAAATGCAACAGCAAGGAGATTGAGAGAGAGAAAATCAGTTAAACCTCTAGTGGGAGATCTTGTAGTTGCAGAATATTCTGGTGACAATGCCATTTACAGGGCAGTTATTAAGAAAATTTTGCCAGGAAATTCTTTTGAAGTAGAATTTATTGACTATGGTAACTCTGCAATAGTAAACACATCTAAAATTTACGAACTTCAGAGGGAATTTTTAACTGTTCCTCAGCTAGGAATCCATGCTTTTCTTAGTGGAGTAAAATGGAATGAGCCTGATGAAATATGGGATGACAAAACTGTGGATTATTTTACTTCGAAAGTACATAACAAAACAGTTTATTGTGAATTTTTGAAAAAGCATGATCAGAAATGGGAAGTAAATATGATTTGTGATGAAAAATGTGTCATTAATGAACTACTGAAATGGAAAGCATGTTCAAAACTGCAGAAGTCAGCATTGCAGATGCCTCAGGTTCTCTCTCAAAAGGTGAGGCCAGGTGATAATGAAATGAAGAAAGGAAAATCAAATGAGTCTGAAGGTTCTATGAATTCAAACCAACAGCTGTTTAAAATTCCTTTGGAAGAATTCAAACTTGGACAACTTGAAAAAGCTGAAATGCTTAATGTTTCAAAAAGTGGAAGATTTTATGTGAAGTTATCCAAAAATAAAAAAATTTTATCAGATTTAATAGTATTAATTACGAAAGAAGAAAAAAAATCCCCTTTTTTATCAATGGAAAGTATTGAAAAAGGTTTAGAATGCTTGGCAAAATCTAAAAATACCTTGAAATGGCATCGATCAAAAGTAGAAGAAAAGTATGTTGATGATAAAGTACTTGTTTTTTTAGTAGATTGTGGTATCTATGAAATAGTACCTGTATGTAATACCAAGCTGCTTAGTAATGAAATAAGAAACATTCCTAGACAAGCTGTACCTTGTAAATGGATTTGGTTTGAAAATTCTAAGAACATATCATTTGAGTGCTTATTTGCTGATTTGGAAATAAATATTCTTTTCCTGAAATATTTAGATGCTGTTTGGGAAGTAGAAATTTTGGTAGATGACCTGTTACTTTTGGAATACTTAAATTTGAATACAGTTCCTGTTGAAGAAAACAAACTTAGACTTGCAGAAATTGTTTACAACATTGAATCTAAGACTCCTGTATCATCATGCACAATAAAATCATTTACTTGGGTTCAATTCCAAAATGATAGGCAGTATTCTGGTATTGCAACTGCTGTTTCTGATCCATCAGACTTCAGTATTCAGTTAGAAGATTTCTTTGACATAATGAAATACCTTTTTATGTTGCTTTCTGATCTACCAGAGACCTTACAAACATTGCCTCAGGAGTTCATAATTCCCGGTTCTAGTTGTTTGTTCAAATATAAATCGGAAGATCAGTGGAATAGAGTAGAAATTTCTGAAGTCTCACCTCAGTCTTTATGTCTTGTGTTGGTTGACTATGGATTTTCTTTTTATATACGTTATTCAGAAATTATAAATCTTAAAGTTGTTCCTGAGGAACTTTTGAATTTGCCAAGGCTGAGTTATCCATGTATTTTATATGGTATCTTACCTGCTAAAGGAAAACATTGGAGTGAAGAAGCCAAAATCTTTTTTCGAGATTTCCTAAGTAAACCAGACTTAGTTTTTCAGTTTAGGGAATATCATTCTGAAACAAAACTGAAAGTAGATGTCATTCATGAGAAAAACAATTTGGCAGATATATTAGTTGCATCTGGTCTCGCAACTTATTCTAAAGATTCACCTCATCTTGATGCAATTACTGCTACTGAATCTGCTAAAAATCCAATATAAATTACAAAGTAAGCCTATTTTCCCATTGTTAGATCAAAATTGTTACAAAAAACAAAATATAAATTTTACATACACTGAGAAACAAAAGTGTAAACAAATCTACAAAGAGGAAAGATGTCTGTAAGAACCTCTTAAGGAAAATTCGTATTAGTAAAAGATCACATTCTAGAAATTTAACAGTGAGAAAGAAAGTTGGTAGTGGAAAACATTTCCAGAGTACCATTTTGTTTGATACATGTACAACAGCTTCATTTTGGGAACTGCCTGATGGTTTGAAGAACAGCAGTCACGTTGAAGACATTTTTGAAAAACTACCAACTGAAGGAATACAGGAAAATAAGACAATGAACTTGAGAACAGCAGTAAAAACATTGCATGATAATAAAAAAAAACACAGAACACTTAAAAGGTAAACAGACATTTTTATAAAGTAGATTATTTTCTGTAGATTCTTTTTATTTGATTCTTTAAAAGTTTTTCATGTACTAACATCCAAATTGAAAATATGTTGCAGGAAAACTTACTAGAAAATCTGGATAAACGGATGAACTGGAAGTGGCCACTACGATTTTAAAACGTTGCTTCACTATCTTTACATTTTTTGAATGGTGAAGTTTTTAGAATGTAGTGAAAGATTTTAACCACACATGCATGCACACACGCATGACGTTTCACAAATAATTTCAAGGGTTTCATAAAACTCCTAAATGTCTGTAGATCTCATGTTAATAAATCTTGCTATTATTAGTGAGCTTCCTGCGCTTATTTTGAAGAATCATTTTTCTGTTATATATAGTTTTATATCATATGAAATGTCTTTAGGTTTTTTGAGTGTGCTTCTAGCATATTTCTGAACCAGATAAATTTATAAATAAACTGACTAGCATATTTTCTCTTAAGTCTTTTAAATGTCAAACTGATACTAAAATATTGTTAAAATTTTAATATTTTATGCACTACAGTATTGTCTGATTTTGTTTATCCACATTACATTCATTTTCTGTATGGATTAGTTACTGAGGATTTTGTAGGCTGTAAAGAATGTTCCCCGGCAAATGTTTGTTTTGACTTTATAAATAAAATGTATATTATTCCACATTCTGTATTATAACTAATGTCATAACAGGCTATACTCTTTCAGTGAGTGGAAATGTCTTGTTTTTATTGATGTAATGTTAGAAGGTGTTTTATTTGAATTTTACCTAGATGTTTTATAGTGAATTGATAAATGCTTTACAATTGGCCCCCTTTTCTATCTAATTTTTGAATCTTTCCTGATAGCAGTAGTGGTTATGGTAGCGATAGAAACAGCTACCATATTTTGAGTGCTTATTATGCTTCAGGCACTGTCCCAAGAGTCTTATATGTATTATCTCATTTAATGCTCATTACAACTCTACAAAGTATGTTGATATAAAGGTTTAGGAACCTAATAACTAGTATTCCACTTCAAGTTTTAAACCACTTTCAAATAAACCTATTCAGAAGGAGAAAGATAATTCTTAAGCAAAATGTCGCACTTAAACAAAATAAATAAAACCAAAAACAATATTGAAGACTGACTTATATTCATGGAAAAATTGGCTTACCAATAATGAAATAAGGAATTATTTAGACTTACACAGACGGTTATAGGCACAGACAAGAGAATCTTCTTGGGAGGGTACCCATGTAAAACAGCCTGAGGCAGTTCTCCCAAAAAAGAAAAGGAGGAGGAAGAGGCTAATCTAACATATGTCTTTCTCCTTCCAAATGGACCAGTGAGATTGACCTTACTTCTGGAAGGCATAAGTCAGAAGAGCAAAGAGGCTAGGAGTATTATGCTAGGAGAGTGCCCCACCCATGAACCTCCACATGGAAGGAAACATCAGGAGTGGGAAAGAAGCAGTCTCCTCCAAGCTATTATCACCACTTTATGGATGAGTCTCAGGGAAATTAAATATCTTGCCCATGAATTTAAAGTTGCTAAGTAAGGAACTGAGATATTCAACTCAGATTTCTCTGACTGATTTTGTTTGTTATTTATACTGCCTTTTGAAAAGAGTTAGCTTACTTGGGGAAGAGTTTCCTGTAAACTATTGGCACCAAACCATACATTTTGGCTCTTAGGTCCTTTACTATTCCCATACCTGTGTATATGTCTACCTTCTTTTATGTTTTTTTTGGCCATCAAATTCTTTAAGAACCCACTTTGGGTCCCTGCTTCTATCTTATAGCACTCCTAACACACAGTGAATCACTAAGTGAGTTAAAGTAGCTGTTGTAAAAGCAGTTAGAAAACCAAACATTAAATTATACTTCAGAACGTAAATTTGAAGTCATATGTAAGGAAAAAAATCAAGACTTTGTTATGACAAATATAAGAAATATGGTTTCACGGATTAGTAATAAATTTCCATACTTGCTATAATCATAGCCTTAAAACAAAACAAGAAAACGACATTAAAAATAACTGGTTTTTATTGCCTTTACTATCTCAGCTCCTACCACCTCTATTACTCTTCCACTATTATTGCCTGCAGGTACTCTGGGTCTAGAGCAAAGTGATTTTAGTAGTTCCTCTTGGTCTAAGACATCAATATTTGAAAGGGTCTTACGTACTAAAAAAGCATAAAAAAGGGACTCTATTACAGTGGTTCTCAACCTTGGCTTTGCATTGGAATTAACAAAGGAAGCTTTCAAAAAACTCTGACGCCTGGGTCCCTATTAAAAATTAAATATTCTGTTTTAATTGGTCAAGAACTGTGGCTTTACTAATGGGTGTTTAAAGCTCTCCTGGTGATTCTAATGCACAGCTAAGGTTGATAATCACTACTCTAGAGAGGACTGTGGATAACTTCCTGAATT